>NC_000002.12:91954236-92138145 GCF_000001405.40 Homo sapiens | reverse complement strand
AAGCTTCTGAGAATGCTTCTGTCTAGAGTTTATATGAAGACAATCCCGTTTCCAACGAAATCCTCAAAGCTATCCAAATATCCTCTTGCAAATTTTACAAAAAGAGTGTTTCAAAACTGCTCTATCAAAAGAAAGCTTCAACACTGTTAGTTGAGGGCGCACATCACAAATAAGATTCTGAGAATGCTTCTGTCCAGTTTTCAGGGGAAGATATTTCCTTTTTCACCATAGGCCTGAAAGCGCTCCAAATGTCCACATCCAGATACTATAAAAAGAGTGTTTCAAACCTGCTCTATGAAAGGGAATGTTCAACTCTGTGACTTGAATGCAAACATCACAAAGAAGATTCTGGGAATGCTGCTGTCTGCTTTTTATATGTAATCCCGTTTCCAACGAAATACTCAAAGCTAGACAAATATCCACTTGCAGATTCCACAAAAAGAGTGTTTCAAAACTGCTCTATCAAAAGAAAGCTTCAACACTGTTAGTTGAGGGCGAACATCACAAATAAGTTTCTGAGAATGCTTCTGTCTAGTTTTCAGGGCAAGATATTTCCTTTTTCACCATAGGCCTGAAAGCGCTCCAAATGTCCACATCCAGATACTACAAAAAGAGTGTTTCAAACCTGCTCTATGAAAGGGAATGTTCAACTCTGTGACTTGAATGCAAACATCACAAAGAAGTTTCTGGGAATGCTGCTGTCTGCTTTTTATATGTAATCCCGTTTCCAACGAAATCCTGAAAGCTAGACAAATATCCACTTGCAGATTCCATAAAAAGAGTGTTTCTAAACTGCTCTCTGAAAAGAAAGGTTCAACTCTGTTAGCTGAGTAGATACATCATGAAAAAGTTTCTGACATTGCTTCTATGTAGCTTTTATTGGAAGATATTTCCTTTTTCACCGTAGTCCTGAGAGCGCTCCAAATGTCCACTTCCAGATACTACAAAAAGAGTGTTTCAAACCTGCTCTATGAAAGGGACTGTTCAACACTGTGACTTCAATTGAAACATCCCAATGAAGCTTCTGAGAATGCTTCTGTCTAGAGTTTATATGAAGACAATCCCGTTTCCAACGAAATCCTCAAAGCTATCCAAATATCCTCTTGCAGATTTTACAAAAAGAGTGTTTCAAAACTGCTCTTTCAAAAGAAAGCTTCAACACTGTTAGTTGAGGGCGCACATCACAAATAAGATTCTGAGAATGCTTCTGTCTAGTTTTCAGGGGAAGATATTTCCTTTTTCACCATAGGCCTGAAAGCGCTCCAAATGTCCACATCCAGATACTACAAAAAGAGTGTTTCAAACCTGCTCTATGAAAGGGAATGTTCAACACTGTGACTTGAATGCAAACATCACAAAGAAGATTCTGGGAATGCTGCTGTCTGCTTTTTATATGTAATCCCATTTCCAACGAAATCCTCAAAGCTAGACAAATATCCACTTGCAGATTCCACAAAAAGAGTGTTTCAAAACTACTCTATCAAAAGAAAGCTTCTACACTGTTAGTTGAGGGCGCACATCACAAATAAGTTTCTGAGAATGCTTCTGTCTAGTTTTCAGGGGAAGATATTTCCTTTTTCACCATAGGCCTGAAAGCGCTCCAAATGTCCACATCCAGATACTACAAAAAGAGTGTTTCAAACCTGCTCTATGAAAGGGAATGTTCAACTCTGTGACTTGAATGCAAACATCACAAAGAAGTTTCTGGAAATGCTGCTGTCTGCTTTTTATATGTAATCCCGTTTCCAACGAAATCCTCAAAGCTAGACAAATATCCACTTGCAGATTCCACAAAAAGAGTGTTTCAAAACTGCTCTCTCAAAAGAAAGGTTCAACTCTGTTAGCTGAGTAAATACATCATGAAAAAGTTTCTGACATTGCTTCTATCTACCTTTTATTGGAAGATATTTCCTTTATCACCGTATTAATGAGATCTCTCCAAATGTCCACTTCCAGAAACTACAAAAAGAGTGTTTCAAACCTGCTCTATGAAAGGGACTGTTCAACACTGTGACTTCAATTGAAACATCCCAATGAAGCTTCTGAGAATGCTTCTGTCTAGAGTTTATATGAAGACAATCCCGTTTCCAACGAAATCCTCAAAGCTATCCAAATATCCTCTTGCAAATTTTACAAAAAGAGTGTTTCAAAACTACTCTATCAAAAGAAAGCTTCAACACTGTTAGTTGTGGGCGCACATCACAAATAAGATTGTGAGAATGTTTCTGTCTAGTTTTCAGGGGAAGATATTTCCTTTTTCACCATAGGCCTGAAAGCGCTCCAAATGTCCACATCCAGATACTACAAAAAGAGTGTTTCAAACCTGCTCTATGAAAGGGAATGTTCAACTCTGACACTTGAATGCAAACATCACAAAGAAGTTACTGGGAATGCTGCTGTCTGCTTTTTATATGTAATCCCGTTTCCAACGAAATCCTCAAAGCTAGACAAATATCCACTTGCAGATTCCACAAAAAGAGTGTTTCAAAACTGCTCTCTCAAAAGAAAGGTTCAACGCTGTTAGCTGAGTAGATACATCATGAAAAAGTTTCTGACATTGCTTCTATCTAGCTTTTATTGGAAGATATTTCCTTTATCACCGTATTCCTGAGGTCTCTCAAAATTTCCAATTCCAGATACTACAAAAAGAGTGTTTCAAAAATGCTCTATGAAAGGGACTGTTCAACACTGTGACTTCAATTGAAACATCCCAATGAAGCTTCTGAGAATGCTTCTGTCTAGATTTTATATGAAGACAATCCCCTTTCCAAGGAAATCCTCAAAGCTATCCAAATATCCTCTTGCAGATTTTACAAAAAGAGGGTTTCAAAACTGCTCTATCAAAAGAAAGCTTCAACACTGTTAGTTGAGGGCGCACATCACAAATAAGATTCTGAGAATGCTTCTGTCTAGTTTTCAGGGGAAGATATTTCCTTTTTCACCATAGGCCTGAAAGCGCTCCAAATGTCCACATCCAGATACTATAAAAAGAGTGTTTCAAACCTGCTCTATGAAAGGGAATGTTCAACTCTGTGACTTGAATGCAAACATCACAAAGAAGATTCTGGGAATGCTGCTGTCTGCTTTTTATATGTAATCCCTTTTCCAACGAAATACTCAAAGCTAGACAAATATCCACTTGCAGATTCCACAAAAAGAGTTTTTCAAAACTGCTCTATCAAAAGAAAGCTTCAACACTGTTAGTTGAGGGCGAACATCACAAATAAGTTTCTGAGAATGCTTCTGTCTAGTTTTCAGGGCAAGATATTTCCTTTTTCACCATAGGCCTGAAAGCGCTCCAAATGTCCACATCCAGATACTACAAAAAGAGTGTTTCAAACCTGCTCTATGAAAGGGAATGTTCAACTCTGTGACTTGAATGCAAACATCACAAAGAAGTTTCTGGGAATGCTGCTGTCTGCTTTTTATATGTAATCCCGTTTCCAACGAAATCCTGAAAGCTAGACAAATATCCACTTGCAGATTCCATAAAAAGAGTGTTTCTAAACTGCTCTCTGAAAAGAAAGGTTCAACTCTGTTAGCTGAGTAGATACATCATGAAAAAGTTTCTGACATTGCTTCTATGTAGCTTTTATTGGAAGATATTTCCTTTTTCACCGTAGTCCTGAGAGCGCTCCAAATGTCCACTTCCAGATACTACAAAAAGAGTGTTTCAAACCTGCTCTATGAAAGGGACTGTTCAACACTGTGACTTCAATTGAAACATCCCAATGAAGCTCCTGAGAATGCTTCTTTCTAGAGTTTATATGAAGACAATCCCGTTTCCAACGAAATCCTCAATGCTATCCAAATATCCTCTTGCAGATTTTACAAAAAGAGTGTTTCAAAACTGCTCTATCAAAAGAAAGCTTCAACACGGTAAGTTGAGGGCGCACATCACAAATAAGATTCTGAGAATGCTTCTGTCCAGTTTTCAGGGGAAGATATTTCCTTTTTCACCATAGGCCTGAAAACGCTCCAAATGTCCACATCCAGATACTACAAAAAGAGTTTTTCAAACCTGCTCTATGAAAGGGAATGTTCAACTCTGTGACTTGAATGCAAACATCACAAAGAAGATTCTGGGAATGCTGCTGTCTGCTTTTCATATGTAATCCCGTTTCCAACGAAATCCTCAAACTTAGACAAATATCCACTTGCAGATTCCACAAAAAGAGTGTTTCAAAACTGCTCTATCAAAAGAAAGCTTCTACACTGTTAGTTGAGGGCGCACATCACAAAGAAGTTTCTGAGAATGCTTCTGTCTAGTTTTCAGGGGAAGATATTTCCTTTTTCACCATAGGCCTGAAAGCGCTCCAAATGTCCACATCCAGATACTACAAAAAGAGTGTTTCAAACCTGCTCTATGAAAGGGAATGTTCAACTCTGTGACTTGAATGCAAACATCACAAAGAAGTTCCTGGGAATGCTGCTGTCTGCTTTTTATAAGTAATCCCGTTTCCAACGAAATCCTCAAAGCTAGACAAATATCCACTTGCAGATTCCACAAAAAGAGTGTTTCAAAACTGCTCTCTGAAAAGAAAGGTTCAACTCTGTTAGCTGAGTAGATACATCATGAAAAAGTTTCTGACATTGCTTCTATCTAGCTTTTATTGGAAGATATTTCCTTTTTCACCGTATTCCTGAGAACTCTCAAAATGTCCACTTCCAGATACTACAAAAACAGTGTTTCAAACCTGCTCTATGAAAGGGACTGTTCAACACTGTGACTTCAATTTAAACATCCCAATGAAGCTTCTGAGAATGCTTCTGCCTAGAGTTTATATGAAGACAATCCCGTTTCCAACGAAATCCTCAAATCTATCCAAATATCCTCTTGCAGATTTTACAAAAAGTGTGTTTCAAAACTGCTCTATCAAAAGAAAGCTTCAACACTGTTAGTTGAGGGCGCACATCACAAATAAGATTCTGAGAATGCTTCTGTCTAGTTTTCAGGGGAAGATATTTCCTTTTTCACCATAGGCCTGAAAGCGCTCCAAATGTCCACATCCAGATACTACAAAAAGAATGTTTCAAACCTGTTCTATGAAAGGGAATGTTCAACTCTGTGACTTGAATGCAAACATCACAAAGAAGTTACTGGGAATGCTGCTGTCTGCTTTTTATATGTAATCCCGTTTCCAACGAAATCCTCAAAGCTAGACAAATATCCACTTGCAGATTCCACAAAAAGAGGGTTTCAAAACTGCTCTCTCAAAAGAAAGGTTCAACTCTGTTAGCTGAGTAGATACATCATGAAAAAGTTTCTGACATTGCTTCTATCTACCTTTTATTGGAAGATAATTCCTTTTTCACCGCAGTCCTGAGAGCGCTCCAAATGTCCACTTCCAGATACTACAAAAAGATTGTTTCAAACCTGCTCTATGAAAGGGACTGTTCAACACTGTGACTTCAATTGAAACATCCCAATGAAGCTTCTGAGAATGCTTCTGTCTAGAGTTTATATGAAGACAATCCCGTTTCCAACGAAATCCTCAAATCTATCCAAATATCCTCTTGCAGATTTTACAAAAAGAGTGTTTCAAAACTGCTCTATCAAAAGAAAGCTTCAACACTGTTAGTTGAGGGCGCACATCACAAATAAGATTCTGAGAATGCTTCTGTCTAGTTTTCAGGGGAAGATATTTCCTTTTTCACCATAGGCCTGAAAGCGCTCCAAATGTCCACATCCAGATACTACAAAAAGAGTGTTTCAAACCTGCTCTATGAAAGGGAATGTTCAACACTGTGACTTCAATTGAAACATCCCAATGAAGCTTCTGAGAATGCTTCTGTCTAGAGTTTATATGAAGACAATCCCGTTTCCAATGAAATCCTCAAAGCTATCCAAATATCCTCTTGCAGATTTTACAAAAAGAGTGTTTCAAAACTGCTCTATCAAAAGAAAGCTTCAACACTGTTAGTTGAGGGCGAACATCACAAATAAGATTCTCAGAATGCTTCTGTCTAGTTTTCAGGGGAAGATATTTCCTTTTTCACCATAGGCCTGAAAGCGCTCCAAATGTCCTCATCCAGATACTACAAAAAGAGTGTTTCAAACCTGCTCTATGAAAGGGAATGTTCAACTCTGTGACTTGAATGCAAACATCACAAGGAAGTTACTGGGAATGCTGCTGTCTGCTTTTTATATGTAATCCAGTTTCCAACGAAATCCTCAAAGCTAGACAAATATCCACTTGCAGATTCCACAAAAAGAGTGTTTCAAAACTGCTCTCTCAAAAGAAAGGTTCAACTCTGTTAGCTGAGTAGATACATCATGAAAAAGTTTCTGACATTGCTTCTATGTAGCTTTTATTGGAAGATATTTCCTTTTTCACCGTAGTCCTGAGAGCGCTCCAAATGTCCACTTCCAGATACAACAAAAAGAGTGTTTCAAACCTGCTCTATGAAAGGGACTGTTAAACACTGTGACTTCAATTGAAACATCCCAATGAAGCTTCTGAGAATGCTTCTGTCTAGAGTTTATATGAAGACAATCCCGTTTCCAATGAAATCCTCAAAGCTATCCAAATATCTTCTTGCAGATTTTACAAAAAGAGTGTTTCAAAACTGGTCTATCAAAAGAAAGCTTCAACACTGTTAGTTGAGGGCGCACATCACAAATAAGATTCTCAGAATGCTTCTGTCTAGTTTTCAGGGGAAGATATTTCCTTTTTCACCATAGGCCTGAAAGCGCTCCAAATGTCCACATCCAGATACTACAAAAAGAGTGTTTCAAACCTGCTCTATGAAAGGGAATGTTCAACTCTGTGACTTGAATGCAAACATCACAAGGAAGTTACTGGGAATGCTGCTGTCTGCTTTTTATATGTAATCCCGTTTCCAACGAAATCCTCAAAGCTAGACAAATATCCACTTGCAGATTCCACAAAAAGAGTGTTTCAAAACTGCTCTCTCAAAAGAAATGTTCAACTCTGTTAGCTGAGTAGATACATCATGAAAAAGTTTCTGACATTGCTTCTATCTAGCTTTTATTGGAAGATATTTCCTTTTTCACCGTAGTCCAGAGATCTCTCCAAATGTCCACTTCCAGATACTACAAAAAGAGTGTTTCAAACCTGCTCTATGAAAGGGACTGTTCAACACTGTGACTTCAATTGAAACATCCCAATGAAGCTTCTGAGAATGCTTCTGTCTAGAGTTTATATGAAGACAATCCCGTTTCCAATGAAATCCTCAAAGCTATCCAAATATCCTCTTGCAGATTTTACAAAAAGAGTGTTTCAAAACTGCTCTATCAAAAGAAAGCTTCAACACTGTTAGTTGAGGGCGCACATCACAAATAAGATTCTGAGAATGCTTCTGTCTAGTTTTCAGGGGAAGATATTTCCTTTTTCACCATAGGCCTGAAAGCGCTCCAAATGTCCACATCCAGATACTACAAAAAGAGTGTTTCAAACCTGGTCTCTGAAAGGGAATGTTCAACTCTGTGACTTGAATGCAAACATCACAAACAAGATTCTGGGAATGCTGCTGTCTGCTTTTTATATGTAATCCCGTTTCCAACGAAATCCTCAAAGCTAGACAAATATCCACTTGCAGATTCCACAAAAAGAGAGTTTCAAAACTGCTCTATCAAAAGAAAGCTTCAACACTGTTAGTTGAGGGCGCACATCAAAAATAAGTTTCTGAGAATGCTTCTGTCTAGTTTTCAGGGGAAGATATTTCCTTTTTCACCTCAGGCCTGAAAGCGCTCCAAATGTCCACATCCAGATACTACAAAAAGAGTGTTTCAAACCTGCTCTATGAAAGGGAATGTTCAACTCTGTGACTTCAATTGAAACATCCCAATGAAGCTTCTGAGAATGCTTCTGTCTAGAGTTTATATGAAGACAATCCCGTTTCCAACGAAATCCTCAAAGCTATCCAAATATCCTCTTGCAGATTTTACAAAAAGAGGGTTTCAAAACTGCTCTATCAAAAGAAAGGTTCAACACTGTTAGTTGAGGGCGCACATCACAAATAAGTTTCTGAGAATGCTTCTGTTTAGTTTTCAGGGGAAGATATTTCCTTTTTCACCATAGGCCTGAAAGCGCTCCAAATGTCCACATCCAGATACTACAAAAAGAGTGTTTCAAACCTGCTCTATGAAAGGGAATGTTCAACTCTGTGACTTGAATGCAAACATCACAAAGAAGTTTGTGGGAATGCTGCTGTCTGCTTTTTATATGTAATCCCGTTTCCAACGAAATCCTCAAAGCTAGACAAATATCCACTTGCAGATTCCAAAAAAAGAGGGTTTCAAAACTGCTCTCTCAAAAGAAAGGTTCAACTCTGTTAGCTGAGTAGATACATCATGAAAAAGTTTCTGACATTGCTTCTATCTAGCTTTTATTGGAAGATATTTCCTTTTTCACCGCAGTCCTGAGAGCGCTCGAAATGTCCACTTCCATATACTACAAAAAGAGTGTTTCAAACCTGCTCTATGAAAGGGACTGTTCAACACTGTGACTTCAATTGAAACATCCCAATGAAGCTTCTGAGAATGCTTCTGTCTAGAGTTTATATGAAGGCAATCCCGTTTAAAACGAAATCCTCAAAGCTATCCAAATATCCTCTTGCAGATTTTACAAAAAGAGGATTTCAAAACTGCTCTATCAAAAGAAAGCTTCAACACTGTTAGTTGAGGGCGCACATCACAAATAAGATTCTGAGAATGCTTCTGTGTAGTTTTCAGGGGAAGATATTTCCTTTTTCACCATAGGTCTGAAAGCGCTCCAAATGTCCACATCCAGATACTACAAAAAGAGTGTTTCAAACCTGCTCTATGAAAGGGAATGTTCAACTCTGTGACTTGAATGCAAACATCAGAAAGAAGTTTCTGGGAATGCTGCTGTCTGCTTTTTGTATGTAATCACGTTTCCAACGAAATCCTCAAAGCTAGACAAATATCCAGTTGCAGATTCCACAAAAAGAGTGTTTCAAAACTGCTCTCTCAAAAGAAAGGTTCAACTCTGTTAGCTGAGTAGATACATCATGAAAAAGTTTCTGACATTGCTTCTATCTAGCTTGTATTGGAAGATATTTCCTTTTTCACCGTAGTCCTGAGAGCGCTCGAAATGTCCACTTCCAGATACTACAAAAAGAGTGTTTCAAACCTGCTCCATGAAAGGGACTGTTCAACAATGTGACTTCAATTGAAACATCCCAATGAAGCTTCTGAGAATGCTTCTGTCTACAGTTTATATGACGACAATCCCGTTTCCAACGAAATCCTCAAAGCTATCCAAATATCCTCTTGCAGATTTTACCAAAAGAGGGTTTCAAAACTGCTCTATCAAAAGAAAGCTTCAACACTGTTAGTTGAGGGCGCACATCACAAATAAGATTCTGAGAATGGTTCTGTCTAGTTTTCAGGGGAAGATATTTCCTTTTTCACCATAGGCCTGAAAGCGCTCCAAATGTCCACATCCAGATACTACAAAAAGAGTGTTTCAAACCTGCTCTATGAAAGGGAATGTTCAACTCTGTGACTTGAATGCAAACATCACAAAGAAGTTTCTGGGAATGCTGCTGTCTGCTTTTAATATGTAATCACGTTTCCAACGAAATCCTCAAAGCTAGACAAATATCCACTTGCAGATTCCACAAAAAGAGTGTTTCCAAACTGCTCTATCAAAAGAAAGCTTCAACACTGTTAGTTGAGGGCGCACATCACAAATAAGTTTCTGAGAATGCTTCTGTCTAGTTTTCAGGGGAAGATATTTCCTTTTTCACCATAGGCCTGAAAGCGCGCCAAATGTCCACATCCAGATACTACAAAAAGAGTGTTTCAAACCTGCTCTATGAAAGGGAATGTTCAACTCTGTGACTTGAATGCAAACATCACAAAGTAGTTTCTGGGAATGCTGCTGTCTGCTTTTTATATGTAATCCCGTTTCCAACGAAATCCTCAAATCTAGACAAATATCCACTTGCAGATTCCACAAAAAGAGTGTTTCAAAACTGCTCTCTCAAAAGAAAGGTTGAACTCTGTTAGCTGAGTAGATATATCATGAAAAAGTTTCTGACATTGCTTCTATCTAGCTTTTATTGGAAGATATTTCCTTTTTCACCGTAGTCCTGAGAGCGCTCTAAATGTCCACTTCCAGATACTACAAAAAGAGTGTTTCAAACCTGCTCTATGAAAGGGAATGTTCAACTGTGTGACTTGAATGCAAACATCACAAAGAAGTTTCTGGGAATGCTGCTGTCTGCTTTTTATATGTAATCCCGTTTCCAACGAAATCCTCAAATCTAGCTACATATGCACTTGCAGATTCCACAAAAAGAGTGTTTCAAAACTGCTCCTTCAAAACGATTGTTGAATTCTGTTAGTTGAGTACACACATCACAAATAAGTTTCTGAGAATGCTTCTGTCTGGTTTCTATGGGAAGATATTTCCTTTTTCAACACAAGCCTGAATGCGCTCCAAACGGACACATCCAGATATGACAAAGGGCGTGTTTCCAACCTGCTCTATGATACCGAACTTTGAACTCTGTGACTTGAATGCAAACATCACAAAGAAGTTTCTCACAATGCTGCTGTCTGCTTTTTATAAGTATTCCCGGTTCCAACGAAATCCTCAAGGCCAGCCAAATATTCACTTGCAGATACCACAAAATGAGTGTTTCAAAACTGTTCTGTCAAAAGAAATGTTCAACTCTGTTAGTTGAGGACACACCTCAGAAACCGGTTTCAGAGAATGCTTCTGTCTTGTTTTTATGGGAAGATATTTCCTTTTTCAACATAGGCCTGAAAGCGCTCCAAATGTCCACTTCCAGATACTACAAAAAGAGTGTTTCAAACCTGCTCTATGAAAGGGACTGTTCAACACTGCGACTTCAACTGAAACATGCCAATGAAGCTTCTGAGAATGCTACTGTCTAGAGTTTATATGAAGACAATCCCGTTTCCAACGAAATCCTCAAAGCTAGACAAATATCCACATGCAGATTCCACAAAAGGAGTGTTTCAAAACTGCTCTTTCAAACCGATGGTTCAATTCTGTTAGTTGAGTACACACATCACAAATAAGTTTCTGAGAGTGCTTCTATCTAGTTTTTATGGGAGGATATTTCCTTTTTCAACACAAGCCGGAATGCGCTCCAAACGGACAACTTCTAGATATGACAAAAGGCGTGTTTCAAACCTGCTCTATGAAAGGGAATGTTCAAATCCGGGACTTCAATGCAAACATCACAAAGAAGTTTCTGAGAATGCTGCTGTCTGCTTTTTATATGGATTCCCGTTTCCAACGAAATCCTCCAAGCTGGCTTAATATCCACTTGCATATTCCACAAAAAGACTGTTTTAAAACTGCTCTCTCAAAAGAAAGGTTGAACTCTGTTAGCTGAGTAGATATATCATGAAAAAGTTTCTGACATTGCTTCTATCTAGCTTTTATTGGAAGATATTTCCTTTTTCACCATAGTTTTGAGAGCGCTCTAAACGTCCACTTCCAGATACTACAAAAAGAGTGTTTCAAACCTGCTCTATGAAAGGGAATGTAGAACTCTGTGACTTGAATGCAAACATCACAAAGAAGTTTCTGGGAATGCTGCTGTAGCTTTTTATATGTTATCCCGTTTCCAACGAAATCCTCAAAGCTAGAGAAATATCCAATTGCAGATTCCACAAAAAGAATGTTTCAAAACTGCTCTCTCAAAAGAAAGGTTAAACTCTGTTAGCTGAGTAGATACATCATGAAAAAGTTTCTGACATTGCTTCTATTTGGCTTTTATTGGAAGATATTTCCTTTTTCACCGAAGTCCTGAGAGCGCTCAAAATGTCCACTTCCAGATACTACAAAAAGAGTGTTTCAAACCTGCACTATGAAAGGGACTGTTCAACACTGTGACTTCAATTGAAACATCCCAATGAAGTTTCTGAGAATGCTTCTGTCTAGTTTTCAGGGGAAGATATTTCCTTTTTCACCATAGGGCTGAAAGCGCTCCAAATGTCCACATCCAGATACTACAAAAAGAGTGTTTCAAACCTGCTCTATGAAAGGGACTGTTCAACACTGTGACTTCAATTGAAACATCCCAATGAAGCTTCTGAGAATGCTACTGTCTAGAGTTTATATGAAGACTATCCCGTTTCCACCGAAATCCTCAAAGCTATCCAAATATCCTCTTGCAGATTTTACAAAAAGAGTGTTTCAAAACTGCTCTATCAAAAGAAAGGTTCAACACTGTTAGTTGAGGGCGCACATCACAAATAAGTTTCTGAGAATGCTTCTGTCTAGTTTTCAGGGGAAGATATTTCCTTTTTCACCATAGGCCTGAAAGCGCTCCAAATGTCCACATCCAGATACTACAAAAAGAGTGTTTCAAACCTGCTCTATGAAAGGGAATGTTCAACTCTGTGACTTGAATGCAAACATCACAAAGAAGATTCTGGGAATGCTGCTGTCTGCTTTTTATATGTAATCCCGTTTCGAACGAAATCCTCAAAGCTAGACAAATATCCACTTCCAGATTCCACAAAAAGAGTGTTTCAAAACTGCTCTCTCAAAAGAAAGGTTCAACTCTGTTGGCTGAGTAGATACATCATGAAAAAGTTTCTGACATTGCTTCTATCTAGCTTTTATTGGAAGATATTTCCTTTTTCACCGTAGTCCTTAGAACGCTCCAAATGTCCACTTCCAGATACTACAAAAAGAGTGTTTCAAACCTGCTCTATGAAAGGGACTGTTCAACACTGTGACTTCAATTGAAACATCCCAATGAAGCTTCCGAGAATGCTTCTGTCTAGAGTTTATATGAAGACAATCCCGTTTCCAACGAAATCCTCAAAGCTATCCAAATATCCTCTTGCAGATTTTACAAAAAGAGTGTTTCAAAACTGCTCTATCAAAAGAAAGGTTCAACACTGTTAGTTGAGGGCGCACATCACAAATAAGTTTCTGAGAATGCTTCTGTCTAGTTTTCAGGGGAAGATATTTCCTTTTTCACCATAGGCCTGAAAGCGCTCCAAATGTCCACATACAGATACTACAAAAAGTGTGTTTCAAACCTGCTCTATGAAAGGGAAGGTTCAACTCTGTGATTTGAATGCAAACATCACAAAGAAGTTTCTGGGAATGCTGCTGTCTGCTTTTTATATGTAATCCCGTTTCCAACGAAATCCTCAAAGCTAGACAAATATCCACTTGCAGATTCCACAAAAAGAGTGTTTCAAAACTGCTCTATCAAAAGAAAGCTTCAACACTGTTAGTTGAGGGCGCACATCACAAATAAGTTTCTGAGAATGCTTTTGTCTAGTTTTCAGGGGAAGATATTTCCTTTTTCACCATAGGCCTGAAAGCGCGCCAAATGTCCACATCCAGATACTACAAAAAGAGTGTTTCAAACCTGCTCTATGAAAGGGAATGTTCAACTCTGTGACTTGAATGCAAACATCACAAAGAAGTTTCTGGGAATGCTGCTGTCTGCTTTTTATATGTAATCCCGTTTCCAACGAAATGCTCAAATCTAGCTACATATGCACTTGCAGATTCCACAAAAAGAGTGTTTCAAAACTGCTCCTTCAAAACGATTGTTGAATTCTGTTAGTTGAGTACACACATCACAAATAAGTTTCTGAGAATGCTTCTGTCTGGTTTCTATGGGAAGATATTTCCTTTTTCAACACAAGCCTGAATGCGCTCCAAACGGACACATCCAGATATGACAAAGGGCGTGTTTCCAACCTGCTCTATGATACCGAACTTTGAACTCTGTGACTTGAATGCAAACATCACAAAGAAGTTTCTCACAATGCTGCTGTCTGCTTTTTATAAGTATTCCCGGTTCCAACGAAATCCTCAAGGCCAGCCAAATATTCACTTGCAGATACCACAAAATGAGTGTTTCAAAACTGTTCTGTCAAAAGAAATGTTCAACTCTGTTAGTTGAGGACACACCTCAGAAACCGGTTTCAGAGAATGCTTCTGTCTTGTTTTTATGGAAAGATATTTCCTTTTTCAACATAGGCCTGAAAGCGCTCCAAATGTCCACTTCCAGATACTACAAAAAGAGTGTTTCAAACCTGCTCTATGAAAGGGACTGTTCAACACTGCGACTTCAACTGAAACATGCCAATGAAGCTTCTGAGAATGCTACTGTCTAGAGTTTATATGAAGACAATCCCGTTTCCAACGAAATCCTCAAAGCTAGACAAATATCCACATGCAGATTCCACAAAAGGAGTGTTTCAAAACTGCTCTTTCAAACCGATGGTTCAATTCTGTTAGTTGAGTACACACATCACAAATAAGTTTCTGAGAGTGCTTCTATCTAGTTTTTATGGGAGGATATTTCCTTTTTCAACACAAGCCGGAATGCGCTCCAAACGGACAACTTCTAGATATGACAAAAGGCGTGTTTCAAACCTGCTCTATGAAAGGGAATGTTCAAATCCGGGACTTCAATGCAAACATCACAAAGAAGTTTCTGAGAATGCTGCTGTCTGCTTTTTATATGGATTCCCGTTTCCAACGAAATCCTCCAAGCTGGCTTAATATCCACTTGCATATTCCACAAAAAGACTGTTTTAAAACTGCTCTCTCAAAAGAAAGGTTGAACTCTGTTAGCTGAGTAGATATATCATGAAAAAGTTTCTGACATTGCTTCTATCTAGCTTTTATTGGAAGATATTTCCTTTTTCACCATAGTTTTGAGAGCGCTCTAAATGTCCACTTCCAGATACTACAAAAAGAGTGTTTCAAACCTGCTCTATGAAAGGGAATGTAGAACTCTGTGACTTGAATGCAAACATCACAAAGAAGTTTCTGGGAATGCTGCTGTAGCTTTTTATATGTTATCCCGTTTCCAACGAAATCCTCAAAGCTAGAGAAATATCCAATTGCAGATTCCACAAAAAGAATGTTTCAAAACTGCTCTCTCAAAAGAAAGGTTAAACTCTGTTAGCTGAGTAGATACATCATGAAAAAGTTTCTGACATTGCTTCTATTTGGCTTTTATTGGAAGATATTTCCTTTTTCACCGAAGTCCTGAGAGCGCTCAAAATGTCCACTTCCAGATACTACAAAAAGAGTGTTTCAAACCTGCACTATGAAAGGGACTGTTCAACACTGTGACTTCAATTGAAACATCCCAATGAAGTTTCTGAGAATGCTTCTGTCTAGTTTTCAGGGGAAGATATTTCCTTTTTCACCATAGGGCTGAAAGCGCTCCAAATGTCCACATCCAGATACTACAAAAAGAGTGTTTCAAACCTGCTCTATGAAAGGGACTGTTCAACACTGTGACTTCAATTGAAACATCCCAATGAAGCTTCTGAGAATGCTACTGTCTAGAGTTTATATGAAGACTATCCCGTTTCCACCGAAATCCTCAAAGCTATCCAAATATCCTCTTGCAGATTTTACAAAAAGAGTGTTTCAAAACTGCTCTATCAAAAGAAAGGTTCAACACTGTTAGTTGAGGGCGCACATCACAAATAAGTTTCTGAGAATGCTTCTGTCTAGTTTTCAGGGGAAGATATTTCCTTTTTCACCATAGGCCTGAAAGCGCTCCAAATGTCCACATCCAGATACTACAAAAAGAGTGTTTCAAACCTGCTCTATGAAAGGGAATGTTCAACTCTGTGACTTGAATGCAAACATCACAAAGAAGATTCTGGGAATGCTGCTGTCTGCTTTTTATATGTAATCCCGTTTCGAACGAAATCCTCAAAGCTAGACAAATATCCACTTCCAGATTCCACAAAAAGAGTGTTTCAAAACTGCTCTCTCAAAAGAAAGGTTCAACTCTGTTGGCTGAGTAGATACATCATGAAAAAGTTTCTGACATTGCTTCTATCTAGCTTTTATTGGAAGATATTTCCTTTTTCACCGTAGTCCTTAGAACGCTCCAAATGTCCACTTCCAGATACTACAAAAAGAGTGTTTCAAACCTGCTCTATGAAAGGGACTGTTCAACACTGTGACTTCAATTGAAACATCCCAATGAAGCTTCCGAGAATGCTTCTGTCTAGAGTTTATATGAAGACAATCCCGTTTCCAACGAAATCCTCAAAGCTATCCAAATATCCTCTTGCAGATTTTACAAAAAGAGTGTTTCAAAACTGCTCTATCAAAAGAAAGGTTCAACACTGTTAGTTGAGGGCGCACATCACAAATAAGTTTCTGAGAATGCTTCTGTCTAGTTTTCAGGGGAAGATATTTCCTTTTTCACCATAGGCCTGAAAGCGCTCCAAATGTCCACATACAGATACTACAAAAAGTGTGTTTCAAACCTGCTCTATGAAAGGGAAGGTTCAACTCTGTGATTTGAATGCAAACATCACAAAGAAGTTTCTGGGAATGCTGCTGTCTGCTTTTTATATGTAATCCCGTTTGCAACGAAATCCTCAAAGCTAGACAAATATCCACTTGCAGATTCCACAAAAAGAGTGTTTCAAAACTGCTCTCTCAAAAGAAAGGTTCAACTCTGTTAGTTGAGTACACACATCACAAATAAGTTTCTGAGAATGCTTCTATCTAGTTTTTATGGGAGGATATTTCCTTTTTCAACACAAGCCGGAATGCGCTCCAAATGGACAACTTCCAGATATGACAAAAGGCGTGTTTCAAACCTGCTCTATGAAAGGGAATGTTCAAATCTGGGACTTCAATGCAAACATCACAAAGAAGTTTCTGAGAATGCTGCTGTCTGCTTTTTATATGCATTCCCGTTTCCAAGGAAATCCTCAAAGCTGGCTTAATATCAACTTGCATATTCCACAAAGAGACTGTTTTAAAACTGCTCTCTCAAAAGAAAGATTGATCTCTGTTAGCTGAGTAGATATATCATGAAAAAGTTTCTGACATTGCTTCTATGTAGCTTTTATTGGAAGATATTTCCTTTTTCACCGTAGTCCTGAGAGCGCTCTCAATGTCCACTTCCAGATACTACAAAAAGAGTGTTTCAAACCTGCTCTATGAAAGGGAATATTCAAATCTGTGACTTGAATGCAAACATCACAGAGAAGTTTCTGAGAATGCTGCTCTCTGCTTTTATATGTAATCCCGTTTCCAACGAAATCCTCAAAGCTAGACAAATATCCACTTGCAGATTCCACAAAAAGAGTGTTTCAAAACTGCTCTCTCAAAAGAAAGGTTCAACTCTGTTAGCTGAGTAGATACATCATGACAAATTTTCTGACATTGCTTCTATCTAGCTTTTATTGGAAGATATTTCCTTTTTCACCGTAGTCCTGACAGCGCTCCAAATGTCCACTTCCAGATACTACAAGAAGAGTGTCTCAAACCTGCTCTATGAAAGGGACTGTTCAACACTGTGACTTCAATTGAAACATCCCAATGAAGTTACTGAGAATGCTTCTGTCTAGAGTTTATATGAAGACAATCCCGTTTCCAACGAAATCCTCAAAGCTATCCAAATATCCTCTTGCAGATTTTACACAAAGAGTGCTTCAAAACTGCCCTATCAAAAGAAAGGTTCAACACTGTTAGTTGAGGGCGCACATCACAAATAAGTTTCTGAGAATGCTTCTGTCTAGTTTTCAGGGGAAGATATTTCCTTTTTCACCATAGGCCTGAAAGCGCTCCAAATGTCCACGTCCAGATACTACAAAAAGAGTGTTTCAAACCTGCTCTATGAAAGGGACTGTTCAACACTGTGACTTCAATTGAAACATCCCAATGAAGTTTCTGAGAATGCTTCTGTCTAGAGTTTATATGAAGACAATCCCGTTTCCAACGAAATCCTCAAAGCTATCCAAATATATTTTTGCAGATTTTACAAAAAGAGTGTTTCAAAACTGCTCTATCAACAGAAAGTTTCAACACTGTTAGTTGAGGGCGCACATCACAAATAAGTTTCTGATTATGCTTCTGTCTAGTTTTCAGGGGAAGATATTTCCTTTTTCACCATAGGCCTGAAAGCGCTCCAAATGTCCACATCCAGATACTACAAAAAGAGTGTTTCAAACCTGCTCTGTGAAAAGGAATGTTCAACTCTGTGACTTGAATGCAAACATCAAAAAACAGTTTCTGTGAATGCTGGGGTCTGCTTTTTATATGTAATCCCGTTTCCAACGAAATCCTCAAAGCTAGACAAATATCCACTTGCATATTCCACAAAAAGAGTGTTTCAAAACTGCTCTCTCAAAAGAAAGGTTCAACTCTGTTAGCTGAGTAGATACATCATGAAAAAGTTTCTGACATTGCTTCTATCTAGCTTTTATTGGAGAATATTTCCTTTTTCACCGTAGTCCTGAGAGCGCTCTAAATGTCCACTTCCAGATACTACGAAAAGTGTGTTTCAAACCTGCTCTATGAAAGGGACTGTTCAACACTGTGACTTCAATTGAAACATCCCAATGAAGTTTCTGAGAATGCTTCTGTCTAGAGTTTATATGAAGACAATCCCGTTTCCAACGAAATCCTCAAAGCTATCCAAATATCCTCTTGCAGATTTTAGAAAAAGAGTGTTTAAAAACTGCTCTATGAAAAGAAAGGTTCAACACTGTTAGTTGAGGGCGCACATCACAAATAAGTTTCTGAGAATGCTTCTGTCTAGTTTTCAGGGGAAGATATTTCCTTTTGCACCATAGGCCTGAAAGCCCTCCAAATGTCCACATCCAGATAGTACAAAAAGAGTGTTTCAAACCTGCTCTATGAAAGGGAATGTTCAACTCTGTGACTTGAATGCAAACGTCACAAAGAAGTTTCTGGGAATGCTGCTGTCTGCTTTTTATATGTAATCCCGTTTCCAACGAAATCCTCAAAGCTAGACAAATATCCACTTGCAGATTCCACAAAAAGAGTGTTTCAAAACTGCTCTCTCAAAAGAAAGGTTCAACTCTGTTAGCTGAGTAGATACATCATGAAAAAGTTTCTGACATTGCTTCTATCTAGCTTTTATTGGAAGATATTTCCTTTTTCACTGTAGTCCTGAGAGCGCTCCAAATGTCCACTTCCAGATACTACAAAAAGAGTGTTTCAAACCTGCTCTATGACAGGGAATGTTCAACACTGTGACTTCAATTGAAACATCCGAAAGAAATTTCTGAGAATGCTTCTGTCTAGAGTTTATATGAAGACAATCCCGTTTCCAACGAAATCCTCAAAGCTATCCAAATATCCTCTTGCAGATTTTACAAAAAGAGTGTTTCAAAACTGCTCTACCAAAAGAAAGGTTCAACACTGTTAGTTGACTACACACATCACAAATAAGTTTCTGAGAATGCTTCTGTCTAGTTTTCAGGGGAAGATATTTCCTTTTTCACCATAGGACTGAAAGCGCTCCAAATGTCCACATCCAGATATTACAAAAAGAGTGTTTCAAACCTGCTCTGTGAAAGGGAATGTTCAACTCTGTGACTTGAATGCAAACATCACAAAGAAGTTTCTGGGAATGCTGCTGTCTGCTTTTTATATGTAATCCCGTTTCCAACGAAATCCTCAAAGCTAGACAAATATCCACTTGCATATTCCACAAAAAGAGTGTTTCAAAGCTGCTCTCTCAAAAGAAAGGTTCATCTCTGTTAGCTGAGCAGATACATCATGAAAAAGTTTCTGACATTGCTTCTATCTAGCTTTTATTGGAAGATATTTCCTTTTTCACTGTAGTCCTGAGAGCGCTCCAAATGTCTACTTCCAGATACTACAAGAAGAGTGTTTCAAACCTGCTCTATCAAAGGGAATGTTCAACACTGTGACGTCAATTGAAACATCCCAAAGAAATTTCTAAGAATGCTTCTGTCTAGAGTTTATATGAAGACAATCCCGTTTCCAACGAAATCCTCAAAGCTATCCAAATATCCTCTTGCAGATTTAACAAAATTGTGTTTCAAAACTGCTCTATGAAAAGAAAGGTTCAACACTGTTAGTTGAGGGCACACATCACAATTAAGTTTCTGAGAGTGCTTCTGTCTAGCTTTCAGGGGAAGATATTTCCTTTTTCACCATAGGCCTGAAAGCACTCCAAATGTCCACATCCAGATTCTACAAAAAGAGTTTTTCAATCCTGCTCTATGAAAGGGAATGTTCAACTCTGTGACTTGAATGCAAACATCACAAAGGAGTTTCTGAGAATGCTGCTGTCTGCTTTTTATATGTAATCCCGTTTCCAACGAAATCGTCAAATCTAGCTAAATATGCACTTGCAGATTCCACAAAAAGAGTGTTTCAAAACTGCTCCTTCAAAACGATTGTTGAATTCTGTTATTTGAGTACACACATCACAAATAAGTTTCTGAGAATGCTTCTGTCTGGTTTCTATTGGAAGGTATTTCCTTTTTCAACACAAGGTTGAATGCGCTTCAAATGGACACTTCCAGATATGACAAAAGGCATGTTTCCAACCTGCTCTATGATACGGAACGTTCAACTCTGTGACTTGAATGCAAACATCACAAAGAAGTTTCTCACAACGCTGCTGTCTGCTTTTTATATGTATTCCCGTTTCCAACGAAATCCTCAAAGCCAGCAAAGTATCCACTTGCAGATTCCACAAAAAGAGTGTTTCAAAACTGTTCTGTCAAAAGAAATGTTCAACTCTGTTAGTTGAGGACACATCTCAGAAACTAGGTTCAGAGAATGCTTCTGTCTAGTTTTTATGGGAAGATATTTCCTTTTTCAATATAGCCCTGAAAGCGCTACAAATGTCCACGTCCAGATACTACAAAAAGAGTGTTTCAAACCTGCTCCATGAAAGGGACTGTTCAACACTGCGACTTCAATAGAAACATCCCAATGAAGTTTCTGAGAATGCTTCTGTCTAGAGTTTATATGAAGAGAATCCCGTTTCCAACGAAATCCTCAAAGCTATCCAAATATCTTCTTGCAGATTTTACAAAAAGAGTGTTTCAAAACTGCTCTATCAAAAGAAAGGTTCAACACTGTTAGTTGAGGGCGCACATCACAAATAAGTTTCTGAGAATGCTTCTGTCTAGTTTTTGAGGCAAGATATTTCCTATTTCACCTTACGCCTCAAAGCGATCAAAACGTCCACTTCCAGATACTACAAAAAGAGTGCTTCAAACCTGCTCTATTAAAGGGAGTGATCAACTCTGTGACTCGAACGCTAACATCCCAAGGAGGTTTCTGAGAATGCTTGTGTCTCGATTTCATATGAAAATTTTCCCGTTTCCAACGAAATCCTCAAAGCTGTCCAAATATCCACATGCAAATTCCACAAAAAGAGTGTATATAACTGCTCTATCAAAAGAAGGGTTCAACTCTGGTAGTTGAGCACACACATCACAAACTAGTTCATGAGAATACTTCTGTCTAGTTTTTATGCGAAGATACACCTTTTTCACCACAGGCCTCAAAGCGATCCACATGTCCACTTCCAGATTCCACAGAAAGAGTGTTTCAAACCTGCTCTATGAAAAGGAACGTTCAAATATGTGACTTGAATGCTGACACCCCAAAGACGGTTCTGAAAATGCTTCTGTCTAGATTTTATGTGAAGATATTCCAGTTTCGAACGAAATCCTCAAAGCTGTCAAAATATCCCCTTGCAGAATATACAAAAAGAGTGTTTCAAGAGTGCTCTCTCAAAAGATAGGTTCAACCCTGTTAGTTGAGTACACACATCACAAACCGGTTTCTGAGAATGCTTCTGCGTAGTTTATATGGGAAGATATTTCCTTTTTCACAATAGGTCACAAAGCACCCCAAATGTCCAGTTCCATATACTACAAAATCTTGTGTTCACACCTGCTTTATGAAAGAGAATGTTCAACACTGGCACTTGAATGCCATCCTCACAGAGATTTTTCTGAGAATGCTTCTGTCTAGGTTTTGTATGGACATATTCCCGTTTCCAACGAAATCCTCTAAGCTATCCAAATATCCACTTGCAGACTGTAAAAAAAGAGTGTTTCAAAACTGCTCTATCAAAAGAAAGATTCAACTCTGTTAGTTGAGTACACACATTCCAAACAAGTTTTGGAGACTGCTTCCGACTAGTTGTTATCCGAAGATATTTCCCATTTCACCATAGCCCTCAAAGCGATCTAAATGTCCATCTCCAGATACTACAAAAAGCGTGTTTCAAAGCTGCTCTATGAAAGGGAATGTACAATTCTCTGACTTCAATGCAAACATCAAAAAGGTGTTTCCGCGAAGGCTTCTGTCTAGATTTTATATGAAGATATTCCCTTTTCCAAGGAAATCCTAAAAGCTATCCAAATATCCACCTGCAGATTCTCCAAAAAGAGTGTTTAAAAACTGCTCTGTCAAAAGAAAGGTTCAACTCTGTTAGTTGAGCACACACATCAGAAACTAGTTCGTGAGAATACTTCTGTCCAGTTTTTATGTGAAGATATACCATTTTCACCGCAGGCCTCAAAGCGATCCAAATGTCCACTTCCAGATTCCACAAAAAGAGGGCTTCAAACCTGCTCTATGAAAAGGAACGTTCAACTCTGTGACTTGAATGCTAACACCCCAAAGACGTTTCTGAGAATGCTTCTGTCTATATTTTATGTGAAGATATTCCCGTTTCCAACGATATCCTCAAAGCTTTCCAAATATCCACATGCAGATTCTATAAAAAGAGTGTTTCAAAACCGCTCTATGAAAAGAAAGGTTCAGCTCTGTTAGTTAAGTACACACATCACAAACTAGTTTATGAGAATGCTTCCGTCTAGTTTTTATTCGAAGATATTCCCTTTTTCACCGTAGGCCTCAATGCGACCCAAAGGTCCCCTTCCAGATTCCACAAAAAGAGTGTTTCAAACCTGCTCCATGAAAGGGAATGTTCAACTCTGTGACTTGAATGCAAACATCCCAAAGATGTTTCTGAGGATGCTTCTGTCGAGATTTTATATGAAGATATCCCGTTTCCAACGAAATCCTCAAAGCTGTCAAAATATCCCCTTGCAGAGTCTACAGAAAGAGTGTTTCAAGAGTGCTCTCTCAAAAGAAAGGTTCAACCCTGTTAGTTGAGTACACAGATCACAACCTGGTTTCTGAGAATTTTTCTGCCTAGTTTATATGGGAAGATATTTCCTTTTTCACAAAATGTCACAAAGCACTCCAAATGTCCACTTCCATATACTACAAAATCTTGTGTTCACACCTGCTTTATGAAAGGGAATGTTCAACACCGGGACTTGAAAGCAATCCCCACAGAGATTTTTCTGAGAATGCTTCTGTCTAGGTTTTGTATGGACATATTCCCGTTTCCAACGAAATCCTCTAAGCTATCCAAATATCCACTTGCAGACTCTACAAAAAGAGTGTTTCAAAACTGCTCTATCAAAAGAAAGATTCAACTCTGTTAGTTGAGTACACACATTCCAAGCAAGTTTTGGAGACTGCTTCCATCTAGTTTTTATGCGAAGATATTTCCTATTTCACCATAGGCCTCAACGTGATCTAAATGTGCATCTCCAGATACTACAAAAAGAGTGTTTCAATGCTGCTCTATGAAAGGGGATGTACAACTCTCTGACTTCAATGCAAACATCCCAAAGGTGTTTCTGCGAAGGCTTCTGTCTAGATTTTATATGAAGATATTCCCTTTTCCAAGGAAATCCTCAAAGCTATCCAAATATCCACCTGCAGATTCTCCAAAAAGACTGTTTCAAAACTGCTCTATCAAAAGAAAGGTTCAACTCTGTTAGTTGAGTAAACACATCACAACGTAGATTCTGAGAATGCTTCTGTGTAGTTTTTGTGGCAAGATATTTCCTTTTTCACCTTACGCCTCAAAGCGATCAAAACGTCCACTTCCAGATACTACAAAAAGAGTGCTTCAAACCTGCTCTGTGAAAGGGAGTGATCAACTGTGTGACTCGAACGCTAACATCCCAAAGAGGTTTCTGAGAATGCTTGTGTCTCGATTTCATATGAAGATTTTCCCGTTTCCAACGAAATCCTCAAAGCTGTCCAGATAGCCACATGCAAATTCTACAAAAAGAGTGTTTCAAAACTGCTCTATCAAAAGAAAGGTTCAACTCTGGTAGTTGAGCACACACATCACAAACTAGTTCATGAGAATACTTCTGTCTAGTTTTTATGCGAAGATATACCTTTTTCACCGCAGGCCTCAAAGCGATCCAAATGTCCACTTCCAGATTCCACAAAAAGAATGTTTCAAACCTGCTCTATGAAAAGGAGCGTTCAACTCTGTGACTTGAATGCTAACACCCCAAAGACGTTTCTGAGAATGCTTCTGTCTATATTTTATGTGAAGATATTCCCGTTTCCAAAGAAATCCTCAAAGCTTTCCAAATATCCACAGGCAGATTCTAAAAAAAGAGTGTTTCAAAACCGCTCTATGAAAAGAAAGGTTCAGCTCTGTTAGTTAACCGCACACATCACAAAGTAGTTTATGAGAATGCTTCTGTCTAGTTTTTATTCGAAGATATTCCCTTTTTCACCGTAGGCCTCAATGCGATCCAAATGTCTACTTCCAGATTCCACAAAAAGAGTGTTTCAAACCTGCTCCATGAAAGGGAAAGTTCAACTCTGTGACTTGCATGCAAACATCCCAAAGAAAGATGTTTCTGAGAATGCTTCTGTCGAGATTTTATATGAAGATATCCCGTTTCCAACGAAATCCTCAAAGCTGTCCAAATATCCCCTTGCAGAGTCTACAAAAAGAGTTTTTCAAGCGTGCTCTCTCAAAAGAAAGGTTCAACCCTGTTAGTTGAGTACACACATCACAACCTGGTTTCTGAGAATGCTTCTGCCTAGTTTATATGGGAAGATATTTCCTTTTTCACAATAAGTCACAAAGCACTCCAAAAGTCCAGTTCCATATACTACAACATCCTGTGTTCACACCTGCTTTATGAAAGAGAATGTTCAACACTGGGACTTGAATGCAATCCTCACAGAGATTTTTCTGAGAATGCTTCTGTCTAGGTTTTGTATGGACATATTCCCGTTTCCAACGAAATCCTCTAAGCTATCCAAATATCCACTTGCAGACTCTACAAAAAGAGTGTTTCAAAACTGCTCTATCAAAAGAAAGGTTCAACACTGTTAGTTGAGGGCGCACATCACAAATAAGTTTCTGAGAATGCTTCTGTCTAGTTTTCAGGAGAACATATTTCCTTTTTCACCATAGGCCTGAAAGCGCTCCAAATGTCCACATCCAGATACTACAAAAAGAGTGTTTCAAAGCTGCTCTATGAAAGGGAATGTTAAACTCTGTGACTTGAATGCAAACATCGCAAAGATGTTTCTGGGAATGCTGCTGTCTGCTTTTTATTTGTAATCCCGTTTCCAACGAAATCCTCAATGCTAGACAAATATCGACTTGCAGATTCCAGAAAAAGAGTGTTTCAAAATTGCTCTTTCAAAACGATGGTTCAATTCTGTTAGTTGAGTACACACATCACAAATAAGTTTCAGAGAATGCTTCTGTCTAGTTTTTATGAGAGGATATTTCCTTTTTCAACACAAGCCGGAATGTGCTCCAAATGGACAGCTTCCAGACATGACAAAAGGCGTGTTTCAAACCTGCTCTCTCAAATGGAATGTTCAACACTGGGACTTCAATGGAAACATCACAAAGAAGTTTCTGAGACTGCTGCCGTCTGCTTTTTAAATGTATTCCCGTTTCCAACGAAATCCTCAGAGCCAGCCAAATATCCACTTGCAGATTCTACAAAAAGAGTGTTTCAAAACCGCTCAATGAAAAGAAAGGTTCAGCTCTGTTAGTTAAGCACACACATCACAAACTAGTTTATGAGAATGCTTCTGTCTAGTTTTTATTCGAAGATATTCCCTTTTTCACCGTAGGCCTCAATGCGACCCAAAGGTCCCCTTCCAGATTCCACAAAAGAGTGTTTCAAACCTGCTCCATGAAAGGGAATGTTCAACTCTGTGACTTGAATGCAAACATCCCAAAGATGTTTCTGAGGATGCTTCTGTCGAGATTTTATATGAAGATATCCCGTTTCCAACGAAATCCTCAAAGCTGTCAAAATATCCCCTTGCAGAGTCTACAAAAAGAGTGTTTCAAGAGTGTTCTCTCAAAAGAAAGGTTCAACCCTGTTAGTTGTGTACACAGATCACAAACTGCTTTCTGAGAATGCTTCTGCCTAGTTTATATGGGAAGATACTTCCTTTTTCACAATAGGTCACAAAGCACTCCAAATGTCCACTTCCATATACTACAAAATCTTGTGTTCACACCTGCTTCATGAAAGGGAATGTTCAACACTCGGACTTGAATGCAATCCTCACAGAGATTTTTCTGAGAATGCTTCTGTCTAGGTTTTTTATGGACATATTCCCGTTTCCAACGAAATCCTCTAAGCTATCCAAATATCCACTTGCAGACTCTACAAAAAGAGTGTTTCAAAACTGCTCTATCAAAAGAAAGATTCAACTCTGTTAGTTGAGTACACACATTCCAAGCAAGTTTTGGAGACTGCTTCCGTCTAGTTTTTATGCGAAGATATTTCCTATTTCACCATAGGCCTCAACGTGATCTAACTGTGCATCTCCAGATACTACAAAAAGAGTGTTTCAAAGCTGCTCTATGACAGGGAATGTACAACTCTCTGACTTCAATGCAAACATCACAAAGGTGTTTCTGCGAAGGCTTCGGTCTAGATTTTATATGAAGATATTCCCTTTTCCAAGGAAATCCTCAAAGTTATCCAAATATCCACCTGCAGATTCTCCAAAAAGAGTGTTTCAAAACTGCTCTATCAAAAGAAAGGTTCAACTCTGTTAGTTGAGTAAACACATCACAACGTAGTTTCTGAGAATGCTTCTGTGTAGTTTTTGTGGCAAGATATTTCCTTTTTCACCTTACGCCTCAAAGCGATCAAAACGTCCACTTCCAGATACTACAAAAAGAGTGCTTCAAACCTGCTCTATGAAAGGGAGTGATCAACTGTGTGACTCGAACGCTAACATCCCAAAGAGGTTTCTGAGAATGCTTGTGTCTCGATTTCATATGAAGATTTTCCCGTTTCCAACGAAATCCTCAAAGCTGTCCAGATAGCCACATGCAAATTCTACAAAAAGAGTGTTTCAAAACTGCTCTATCAAAAGAAAGGTTCAACTCTGGTAGTTGAGCACACACATCACAAACTAGTTCCTGAGAATACTTCTGTCTAGTTTTTATGCGAAGATATACCTTTTTCACCGCAGGCCTCAAAGCGATCCAAATGTCCACTTCCAGATTCCACAAAAAGAATGTTTCAAACCTGCTCTATGAAAAGGAGCGTTCAACTCTGTGACTTGAATGCTAACACCCCAAAGACGTTTCTGAGAATGCTTCTGTCTATATTTTATGTGAAGATATTCCCGTTTCCAAAGAAATCCTCAAAGCTTTCCAAATATCCACAGGCAGATTCTAAAAAAAGAGTGTTTCAAAACCGCTCTATGAAAAGAAAGGTTCAGCTCTGTTAGTTAACCGCACACATCACAAAGTAGTTTATGAGAATGCTTCTGTCTAGTTTTTATTCGAAGATATTCCCTTTTTCACCGTAGGCCTCAATGCGATCCAAATGTCTACTTCCAGATTCCACAAAAAGAGTGTTTCAAACCTGCTCCATGAAAGGGAAAGTTCAACTCTGTGACTTGCATGCAAACATCCCAAAGAAAGATGTTTCTGAGAATGCTTCTGTCGAGATTTTATATGAAGATATCCCGTTTCCAACGAAATCCTCAAAGCTGTCCAAATATCCCCTTGCAGAGTCTACAAAAAGAGTTTTTCAAGCGTGCTCTCTCAAAAGAAAGGTTCAACCCTGTTAGTTGAGTACACACATCACAACCTGGTTTCTGAGAATGCTTCTGCCTAGTTTATATGGGAAGATATTTCCTTTTTCACAATAGGTCACAAAGCACTCCAAATGTCCAGTTCCATATATTACAACATCTTGTGTTCACACCTGCTTTATGAAAGGGAATGTTCAACACTGGGACTTGAATGCAATCCTCACAGAGATTTTTCTGAGAATGCTTCTGTCTAGGTTTTGTATGGACATATTCCCGTTTCCAACGAAATCCTCTAAGCTATCCAAATATCCACTTGCAGACTCTACAAAAAGAGTGTTTCAAAACTGCTCTATCAAAAGAAAGGTTCAACACTGTTAGTTGAGGGCGCACATCACAAATAAGTTTCTGAGAATGCTTCTGTCTAGTTTTCAGGGGAAGATATTTCCTTTTTCACCATAGGCCTGAAAGCGCTCCAAATGTCCACATCCAGATACTACAAAAAGAGTGTTTCAAAGCTGCTCTATGAAAGGGAATGTTCAACTCTGTGACTTGAATGCAAACATCACAAAGAAGTTTCTGGGAATGCTGCTGTCTGCTTTTTATATGTAATCCCGTTTCCAACGAAATCATCAAAGCTAGACAAATATCCACTTGCAGATTCCACAAAAAGAGTGTTTAAAAACTGCTCTCTCAAAAGAAAGGTTCAACTCTGTTAGCTGAGCAGATACATCATGAAAAAGTTTCTGACATTGCTTCTATCTAGCTTTTATTGGAAGATATTTCCTTTTTCACTGTAGTCCTGAGAGCGCTCCAAATGTCCACTTCCAGATACTACAAGAAGAGTGTTTCAAACCTGCTCTATGACAGGGAATGTTCAACACTGTGACTTCAATTAAAACATCCCAAAGAAATTTATGAGAATGCTTCTGTCTAGAGTTTATATGAAGACAATCCCGTTTCCAACGAAATCCTCAAAGCTATCCAAATATCCTCTTGCAGATTTTACAAAAAGAGTGTTTCAAAACTGCTCTATCAAAAGAAAGGTTCAACACTGTTACTTGAGGGCGCACATCACAAATAAGTTTCTGAGAATGCTTCTGTCTAGTTTTCAGGGGAAGATATTTCCTTTTTCACCATAGGCCTGAAAGCGCTCCAAATGTCCACATCCAGATACTACAAAAAGAGTGTTTCAAACCTTCTCTATGAAAGGGAATGTTCAACTCTGTGACTTGAATGCAACCGTCACAAAGAAGTTTCTGGGAATGCTGCGGCCTGCTTTTTATATGTAATCCCGTTTCCAACGAAATCCTCAAAGCTAGACAAATATCCACTTGCAGATTCCACAAAAAGAGTGTTTCCAAACTGCTCTTCCACAACGATGGTTCAATTCTGTTAGTTGAGTACACACATCACAAATAAGTTTCTGAGAATGCTTCTATCTAGTTTTTATGGGAGGATATTTCCTTTTTCAAGACAAGCCGGAATGCGCTCCAAATGGACAACGTCCAGATATGACAAAAGGCGTGTTTCAGACCTGCTCTATTAAAGGGAATGTTGAACTCTGGGACTTCAATGCAAACATGACAAAGAAGTTTCTGACAATGCTGCTGTCTGCTTTTTATATGGATTCCCGTTTCCAACGAAATCCTCCAAGCTGGCCTAATATCCACTTGCATATTCCCCAAAAAGAGTGTTTTAAAACTGGTCTCTCAAAAGAAAGGTTCAACTCTGTTAGCTGAGTAGATACATCATGAAAAATTTCTGACATTGCTTCTATCTAGCTTTTATTGGAAGATATTTCCTTTTTCACAGTAGTCCTGAGAGCGCTCCAAATGTCCACTTCCAGATACTACAAAAAGAGTGTTTCAAACCTGCTCTATGAAAGGGACTGTTCAACACTGTGACTTCAGTTGAAACATCACAATGAAGTTTCTGAGAAAGCTTCTGTCTAGAGTTTATATGAAGACAATCCCGTTTCCAACGAAATCCTCAAAGCTATCCAAATATCTTCTTGCAGATTTTACAAAAAGTGTGTTTCAAAACTGCTCTATCAAAAGAAAGGTTCAACACTGTTAGTTGGGGGCGCACATCACAAATAAGATTCTGAGAATGCTTCTGTCTAGTTTTCAGGGGAAGATATTTCCTTTTTCACCATAGGCCTGAAAGCGCTCCAAATGTCCACATCCAGATACTACAAAAAGAGTGTTTCAAACCTGCTCTATGAAAGGGAATGTTAAACTCTGTGACTTGAATGCAAACATCACAAAGAAGTTTCTGGGAATGCTGCTGTCTGCTTTTATATGTAATCCCGTTTCCAACGAAATCCTCAATGCTAGACAAATATCGACTTGCAGATTCCAGAAAAAGAGTGTTTCAAAATTGCTCTTTCAAAACGATGGTTCAATTCTGTTAGTTGAGTACACACATCACAAATAAGTTTCAGAGAATGCTTCTGTCTAGTTTTTATGAGAGGATATTTCCTTTTTCAACACAAGCCGGAATGTGCTCCAAATGGACAGCTTCCAGACATGACAAAAGGCGTGTTTCAAACCTGCTCTATCAAATGGAATGTTCAACACTGGGACTTCAATGGAAACATCACAAAGAAGTTGCTGAGAATGCTGCCGTCTGCTTTTTAAATGTATTCCCGTTTCCAACGAAATCCTCAGAGCCAGCCAAATATCCACTTGCAGATTCTACAAAAAGAGTGTTTCAAAACCGCTCAATGAAAAGAAAGGTTCAGCTCTGTTAGTTAAGCACACACATCACAAACTAGTTTATGAGAATGCTTCTGTCTAGTTTTTATTCGAAGATATTCCCTTTTTCACCGTAGGCCTCAATGCGACCCAAAGGTCCCCTTCCAGATTCCACAAAAAGAGTGTTTCAAACCTGCTCCATGAAAGGGAATGTTCAACTCTGTGACTTGAATGCAAACATCCCAAAGATGTTTCTGAGGATGCTTCTGTCGAGATTTTATATGAAGATATCCCGTTTCCAACGAAATCCTCAAAGCTGTCCAAATATCCCATTGCAGAGTCTACAAAAAGAGTTTTTCAAGCGTGCTCTCTCAAAAGAAAGGTTCAACCCTGTTAGTTGAGTACACACATCACAACCTGGTTTCTGAGAATGCTTCTGCCTAGTTTATATGGGAAGATATTTCCTTTTTCACAATAGGTCACAAAGCACTCCAAATGTCCACTTCCATATACTACAACATCTTGTGTTCACACCTGCTTCATGAAAGGGAATGTTCAACACTGGGACTTGAATGCAATCCTCACAGAGATTTTTCTGAGAATGCTTCTGTCTAGGTTTTGTATGGACATATTCCCGTTTCCAACGAAATCCTCTAAGCTATCCAAATATCCACTTGCAGACTCTACAAAAAGAGTGTTTCAAAACTGCTCTATCAAAAGAAAGATTCAACTCTGTTAGTTGAGTACACACATTCCAAGCAAGTTTTGGAGACTGCTTCCGTCTAGTTTTTATGCGAAGATATTTCCTATTTCACCATAGGCCTCAACGTGATCTAACTGTGCATCTGCAGATACTACAAAAAGAGTGTTTCAAAGCTGCTCTATGACAGGGAATGTACAACTCTCTGACTTCAATGCAAACATCACAAAGGTGTTTCTGCGAAGGCTTCGGTCTAGATTTTATATGAAGATATTCCCTTTTCCAAGGAAATCCTCAAATCTATCCAAATATCCACCTGCAGATTCTCCAAAAAGAGTGTTTCAAAACTGCTCTATCAAAAGAAAGGTTCAACTCTGTTAGTTGAGTAAACACATCACAACGTAGTTTCTGAGAATGCTTCTGTGTAGTTTTTGTGGCAAGATATTTCCTTTTTCACCTTATGTCTCAAAGCGATCAAAACGTCCACTTCCAGATACTACAAAAAGAGTGCTTCAAACCTGCTCTATGAAAGGGAGTGATCAACTGTGTGACTCGAACGCTAACATCCCTAAGAAGTTTCTGAGAATGCTTGTGTCTCGATTTCATATGAAGATTTTCCCGTTTCCAGCGAAATCCTCAAAGCTGTCCAAATATCCACATGCAAATTCTACAAAAAGAGTGTTTCAAAACTGCTCTATCCAAAGAAAGGTTCAACTCTGGTAGTTGAGCACACACATCACAAACTAGTTCATGAGAATACTTCTGTCTAGTTTTTATGCGAAGATATACCTTTTTCACCGCAGGCCTCAAAGCGATCCAAATGTCCACTTCCAGATTCCACAAAAAGAGTGTTTCAAACCTGCTCTATGAAAAGGAACGTTCAACTCTGTGACTTGAATGCTAACACCCCAAAGACGTTTCTGAGAATGCTTCTGTCTAGATTTTATGTGAAGATATTACGGTTTCCAACGAAATCCTCAAAGCTTTCCAAATATCCACATGCAGATTCTACAAAAAGAGTGTTTCAAAACCGCTCTATGAAAAGAAAGGTTCAGCTCTGTTAGTTAAGCACACAGATCACAAACTAGTTTATGAGAATGCTTCTGTCTAGTTTTTATTCGAAGATATTCCCTTTTTCACCGTAGGCCTCAATGCGATCCAAATGTCTACTTCCAGATTCCACAAAAAGAGTGTTTCAAACCTGCTCCATGAAAGGGAATGTTCAACTCTGTGACTTGAATGCAAACATCCCAAAGATGTTTCTGAGGATGCTTCTGTCGAGATTTTATATGAAGATATCCCTTTTCCAACGAAATCCTCAAAGCTGACAAAATATCCCCTTGCAGATTCTACAAAAAGAGTGTTTCAAGAGTGCTCTCTCAAAAGAAAGGTTCAACCCTGTTAGTTGAGTACACACATCACAAACTGGTTTCTGAGAATTCTTCTGCCTAGTTTATATGGGAAGATATTTCCTTTTTCACAAAAGGTCACAAAGCACTCCAAATGTCCACTTCCATATACTACAAAATCTTGTGTTCACACCTGCTTTATGAAAGGGAATGTTCAACACCGGGACTTGAATGCAATCCTCACAGAGATTTTTCTGAGAATGCTTCTGTCTAGGTTTTGTATGGACATATTCCCGTTTCCAGCAAAATCCTCTAAGCTATCCAAATATCCACTTGCAGACTCTACAAAAAGAGTGTTTCAAAACTGCTCTATCAAAAGAAAGATTCAACTCTGTTAGTTGAGTACACACATTCCAAGCAAGTTTTGGAGACTGCTTCAATCTAGTTTTTATGCGAAGATTTTCCTATTTCACCATAGGCCTCAAAGCGATCTAAATGTCCATCTCCAGATACTACAAAAAGAGTGTTTCAAAGCTGCTCTATGTAAGGGAATGTAGAACTCTCTGACTTCAATGCAAACATCGCAAAGGTGTTTCTGCGAATGCTTCTGTCTAGATTTTATATGAAGATATTCCCTTTTCCACGGAAAACCACAAAGCTATCCCAATATCCACCGGCATATTCTCCAAAAAGAGTGTTTCAAAACTGCTCTATCAAAAGAAAGGTTCAACTCTGTTAATTGAGTAAACACATCACAACGTAGTTTCTGAGAATGCTTCTGTGTAGTTTTTGTGGCAAGATATTTCCTTTTTCACCTTACGCCTCAAAGCGATCAAAACGTCCACTTCCAGATACTACAAAAAGAGTGCTTCAAACCTGCTCTATGAAAGGAGGGATCAACTGTGTGACTTGAACGCTGACATCCCAAAGAGGTTTCTGAGAATGCTTGTGTCTCGATTTCATATGAAGATTTTCCCGTTTCCAACGAAATCCTCAAAGGTGTCCAAATAGCCACATGCAAATTCTACAAAAAGAGTGTTTCAAAACTGCTCTATCAAAAGAAAGGTTCAACTCTGGTAGTTGAGCACACTCATCACAAGCTAGTTCGTGAGAATAATTCTGTCTAGCTTTTATGCGAAGGTATACCTTTTTCTCCGCAGGCCTCAAAGCGATCCAAATGTCCACTTCCAGATTCCACAAAAAGAGTGTTTCAAACCTGCTCTATGAAAAGGAACGTTCAACTCTGTGACTTGAATGCTAACACCCCAAAGACGTTTCTGAGAATGCTTCTGTCTAGATTTTATGTGAAGATATTCCCGTTTCCAAAGAAATCCTCAAAGCTTTCCAAATATCCACAGGCAGATTGTACAAAAAGAGTGTTTCCAAACCGCTCTATGAAAAGAAAGGTTCAGCTCTGTTAGTTAACCACACACATCACAAAGTAGTTTATGAGAATGTTTCTGTCTAGTTTTTATTCGAAGATATTCCCTTTTTCACCGTAGGCCTCAATGCGATCCAAATATCCACTTCCAGATTCCACAAAAAGAGTGTTTCAAACCTGCTCCATGAAAGGGAAAGTTCAACTCTGTGACTTGCATGCAAACATCCCAAGGATGTTTCTGAGGATGCTTCTGTCGAGATTTTATATGAAGATATCCCGTTTCCAACGAAATCCTCAAAGCTGTCCAAATATCCCCTTGCAGAGTCTACAAAAAGAGTTTTTCAAGCATGCTCTCTCAAAAGAAAGGTTCAACCCTGTTAGTTGAGTACGCACATCACAAACTGGTTTCTGAGAATGCTTCTTCCTAGTTTATATGGGAAGATATTTCCTTTTTCACAATAGGTCACAAAGCACTCCAAATGTCCAGTTCCATATACTACAAAATCTTGTGTTCACACCTGCTTTATGAAAGGGAATGTTCAACACTGGGACTTGAATGCAATCCTCACAGAGATTTTTCTGAGAATGCTTCTGTCTAGGTTTTGTATGGACATATTCCCGTTTCCAACGAAATCCTCTAGGCTATCCAAATATCCACTTGCAGATTCTACAAAAAGAGTGTTTCAAAACTGCTCTATCAAAAGAAATGTTCAACACTGTTACTTGAGGGCGCACATCAAAATAAGTTTCTGAGAATGCTTCTGTCTAGTTTTCAGGGGAAGATATTTCCTTTTTCACCATAGGCCTGAAAGCGCTCCAAATGTCCACATCCAGATACTACAAAAAGAGTGTTTCAAACCTGCTCTATGAAAGGGAATGTTCAACTCTGTGACTTGAATGCAAACATCACAAAGAAGTTTCTGGGAATGCTGCTGTCTGCTTTTTATATGTAATCCCGTTTCCAACGAAATCCTCAAAGCTAGACAAATATCCACTTGCATATTCCACAAAAAGAGTGCTTCAAAGCTGCTCTCTCAAAAGAAAGGTTCAACTCTGTTAGCTGAGCAGATACATCATAAAAAAGTTTCTGACATTGCTTCTATCTAGCTTTCATTGGAAGATATTTCCTTTTTCACGGTAGTCCTGAGAGCGCTCCAAATGTCCACTTCCAGATACTACAAGAAGAGTGTTTCAAACCTGCTCTAACAAAGGGAATGTTCAACACTGTGACTTCAATTGAAACATCCCAAAGAAATTTCTGAGAATGCTTCTGTCTAGAGTTTATATGAAGACAATCCCGTTTCCAACGAAATCCTCAAAGCTATCCAAATATCCTCTTGCAGATTTAACAAAATAGTGTTTCAAAACTGCTCTATCAAAAGAAAGGTTCAACATTGTTAGTTGAGGGCACACATCACAAATAAGTTTCTGAGAATGCTTCTGTCTAGTTTTCAGGGGAAGATATTTCCTTTTTCACCATAGGCCTGAAAGCGCTCCAAATGTCCACATCCAGATTCTACAAAAAGAGTTTTTCAATCCTGCTCTATGAAAGGGAATGTTCAACTCTGTGACTTGAATGCAAACATCACAAAGAAGTTTCTGAGAATGCTGCGGCCTGCTTTTTATATGTAATCCCGTTTCCAACGAAATCCTCAAATCTAGCTAAATATGCACTTGCAGATTCCACAAAAAGAGTGTTTCAAAACTGCTCCTTCAAAACGATTGTTGAATTCTGTTAGTTGAGTACACACATCACAAATAAGTTTCTGAGAATGCTTCTGTCTTGTTTCTATGGGAAGGTATTTCCTTTTTCAACACAAGCCTGAATGCACTCCAAATGGACACTTCCAGATATGACAAAAGGCGTGTTTCCAACCTGCTCTATGATACGGAACGTTCAACTCTGTGACTTGAATGCAAACATCATAAAGACGTTTCTCACAACGCTGCTGTCTGCTTTTTGTATGTATTCCCGTTTCCAACGAAATCCTCAAAGCCAGCAAAATATCCACTTGCAGATTCCACAAAAAGAGTGTTAAAAAACTGTTCTGTCAAAAGAAATATTCAACTCTGTTATTTGAGGACACAACTCAGAAACTAGTTTCAGAGAATGCTTCTGTCTAGTTTTTATGGGAAGATATTTCCTTTTTCAACATAGCCCTGAAAGCGCTACAAATGTCCACTTCCAGATACTACAAAAAGAGTGTTTCAAACCTGCTCCATGAAAGGGACTGTTCAACACTGCGACTTCAATAGAAACATCCCAATGAAGTTTCTGAGAATGCTTCTGTCTAGAGTTTATATGAAGACAATCCCGTTTCCAACGAAATCCTCAAAGCTGTCCAAATATGTTCTTGCAGATTTTACAAAAAGAGTGTTTCAAAACTGCTCTATCAAAAGAAAGGTTCAACACTGTTAGTTGAGGGCGCACATCACAAATAAATTTCTGAGAATGCTTCTGTGTAGTTTTTGAGGCAAGATTTTTCCTTTTTCACCTTACGCCTCAAAGCGATCAAAACGTCCACTTCTAGATACTACAAAAAGAGTGCTTCAAACCTGCTCTATGAAAGGGAGTGATCAACTCTGTGACTCGAACGCTAACATCCCAAAGAGGTTTCTGAGAATGCTTGTGTCTCGATTTCATATGAAGATATTCCCGTTTCCAACGAAATCCTCAAAGCTGTCCAAATATCCACATGCAAATTCCACAAAAAGAGTGTTTAAAAACTGCTGTATCAAAAGAAAGGTTCAACTCTGGTAGTTGAGCACACACATCACAAACTAGTTCATGAGAATACTTCTGTCTAGTTTTTATGCGAAGATACACCTTTTTCACCGTAGGCCTCAATGCGATCCACATGTCCACTTCCAGATTGCACAGAAAGAATGTTTCAAACCTGCTCTATGAAAAGGAACGTTCAAATCTGTGACTTGAATGCTGACACCCCAAAGACGGTTCTGAAAATGCTTCTGTCTAGATATTATGTGAAGATATTCCAGTTTCCAACGAAATCCTCAAAGCTGTCAACGTATCCCCTTGCAGAGTCTACAAAAAGAGTGTTTCAAGAGTGCTCTCTCAAAAGATAGGTTCAACCCTGTTAGTTGAGTACACACATCACAAACCGGTTTCTGAGAATGCTTCTGCCTAGTTTATATGGGAAGATATTTCCTTTTTCACCATAGGTCACAAAGCACCCCAAATGTCCAGTTCCATATACTACAAAATCTTGTGTTCACACCTGCTTTATGAAAGGGAATGTTCAACACTGGCACTTGAATGTAATCCTCACAGAGATTTTTCTGAGAATGCTTCTGTCTAGGTTTTGTATGGACATATTCCCGTTTCCAACGAAATCCTCTAAGCTATCCAAATATCCACTTGTAGACTCTACAAAAAGAGTGTTTCAAAACTGCTCTATCAAAAGAAAGATTCAACTCTGTTAGTTGAGTACACACATTCCAAGCAAGTTTTGGAGACTGCTTCCGTCTAGTTTTTATGCGAAGAGATTTCCTATTTCACCATAGGCCTCAAAGCGATGTAAATGTCCATCTCCAGATACTACAAAAAGAGTGTTTGAAAGCTGCTCTATGAAAGGGAATGTACAACTCTCTGACTTCAATGCAAACATCACAAAGGTGTTTCTGCGAAGGCTTCTGTCTAGATTTTATATGAAGATATTCCCTTTTCCAAGGAAATCCTCAAAGCTATCCAAATATCCACCTGCAGATTCTCCAAAAAGAGTGTTTCAAAACTGCTCTATCAAAAGAAAGGTTCAACTCTGTTAGTTGAGTAAACACATCACAACGTAGTTTCTGAGAATGCTTCTGTGTAGTTTTTGTGGCAAGATATTTCCTTTTTCATCTTACGCCTCAAAGCAATCAAAACGTCCACTTCCAGATACTACAAACAGAGTGCTTCAAAGCTGCTCTATGAAAGGGAGTGATCAACTGTGTGACTCGAACGCTAACATCCCAAAGAGGTTTCTGAGAATGCTTGTGTCTCGATTTCATATGAAGGTTTTCCCGTTTCCAACGAAATCCTCAAAGCTGTCCAAATATCCACATGCAAATTACACAAAAAGAGTGTTTAAAAACTGCTCTATCAAAAGAAAGGTTCAACTGTGGTAGTTGAGCACACACATCACAAACTAGTTCATGAGAATACTTCTGTCTAGTTTTTATGCGAAGAAATACCTTTTTCACCACAGGCCTCAAAGCGATCCAAATGTCCACTTCCAGATTCCACAAAAAGAGTGTTTGAAACCTCCTCTATGAAAAGGAACGTTCAACTCTGTGACTTGAATGTTAGCACCCCAAAGACTTCTCTGAGAATGCTTCTGTCTAGATTTTATGTGAAGATTTTCCCGTTTCCAACGAAATCCTCAAAGCTTTCCAAATATCCACATGCAGATTCTACAAAAAGAGTGTTTTAAAACCGCTCTATGAAAAGAAAGGTTCAGCTCTGTTAGTTAAGCACACACATCACAAACTAGTTTATGATAATGCTTCTATCTAGTTTTTATTCGAAGATATTCCCTTTTTCACCGTAAGCCTCAATGCGATCCAAATGTCCACTTCCAGATTTTACAAAAAGAGTTTTTCAAACCTGCTCCATGATAGGGAGTGTTCAACTCTGTGACTTGAATGCAAACATCCCAAAGATGTTTCTGAGGATGCTTCTGTCGAGATTTTATATGAAGATATCCCGTTTCCAACGAAATCCTCAAAGCTGTCCAAATATCCCATTGCAGAGTCTACAAAAAGAGTGTTTCAAGAGTGCTCTCTCAAAAGAAAGGTTCAACCCTGTTAGTTGAGTACTCACATCACAATCTGGTTTCTGAGAATGCTTCTGCCTAGTTTATATGGGAAGATATTTCCTTTTTCACAATAGGTCACAAGGCACTCCAAATGTCCAGTTCCATATACTACAAAATCTTGTGTTCACACCTGCTTTATGAAAGGGAATGTTCAACACTGGGACATGAATGCAATCCTCACAGAGATTTTTCTGAGAATGCTTCTGTCTAGGTTTTGTATGGACATATTCCCGTTTCCAACGAAATCCTCTAAGCTATCCAAATATCCACTTGCAGACTCTACAAAAAGAGTGTTTCAAAACTGCTCTATCAACAGAAAGATTCAACTCTGTTAGTTGAGTACACACATTCCAAGCAGTTTTGGAGACTGCTTCCGTCTAGTTTTTATGCGAAGATATTTCCTATTTCACCATAGGCCTCAAAGCGATCTAAATGTCCATCTCCACATACTACAAAAAGAGTGTTTCAAAGCTGCTCTATGAAAGGGAATGTACAACTCTCTGACTTCAATGCAAACATCCCAAAGGTGTTTCTGCGAATGCTTCTGTCTAGATTTTATATGAAGATATTCCCTTTTCCAAGGAAATCCTCAAAGCTATCCAAATATCCACCTGCAGATTCTCCAAAAAGACTGTTTCAAAACTGCTCTATGAAAGGAAAGGTTCAACTCTGTTAGTTGAGTAAACACATCACAACGTAGTGTCCGAGAATGCTTCTGTGTAGTTTTTGTGGCAAGATATTTCCTTTTTCACCTTACGCCTCAAAGCGATCAAAACGTCCACTTCCAGATACTACAAAAAGAGTGCTTCAAAGCTGCTCTATGAAAGGGAGTGATCAACTCTGTGCCTCGAACGCTAACATCCCCAAAGACGTTTCTGAGAATGCTTGTGTCTCGATTTCATATGAAGATTTTCCCGTTTCCAACGAAATCCTCTAAGCTGTCCAAATATCCACATGCAAATTCTAGAAAAAGAGTTTTTCAAAACTGCTCTATCAAAAGAAAGGTTCAACTCTGGTAGTTGAGCACACACATCACAGACTAGTTAATGAGAATACTTCTGTCTAGTTTTTATGCGAAGATATACCTTTTTCACCGCAGGCCTCAAAGCGATCCAAATGTCCACTTCCAGATTCCACAAAAAGAGTGTTTCAAACCTGCTCTATGAAAAGGAACGTTCAACTCTGTGACTTGAATGCTAACACCCCAAAGACGTTTCTGAGAATGCTTCTGTCTAGATTTTATGTGAAGATATTCCCGTTTCCAACGAAATCCTCAAAGCTTTCCAAATATCCACATGCAGATTCTACAAAAAGAGTGTTTCAAAACCGCTCTATGAAATGAAAGGTTCAGCACTGTTAGTTAAGCACACACATCACAAACTAGTTTATGAGAATGCTTCTGTATAGTTTTTATTCGAAGATATTCCCTTTTTCACCGTAGGCCTCAATGCGATCCAAGTGTCCACTTCCAGATTCCACAAAAAGAGTGTTTCAAACCTGCTCCATGAAAGGGAATGTTCAACTCTGTGACTTGAATGCAAACATCCCAAAGATGTTTCTGAGGATGCTTCTGTCGAGATTTTATATGAAGATATCCCGTTTCCAACGAAATCTTCAAAGCTGTCAAAATATCGCCTTGCAGAGTCTACAAAGAGTGTTTCAAGAGTGCTCTCTCAAAAGAAAGGTTCAACCCTGTTAGTTGAGTACACACATCACAAACTGTTTTCTGAGAATGCTTCTGCCTAGTTTATATGGGAAGATATTTCCTTTTTCACAATAGGTCACAAAGCACTCCAAATGTCCAGTTCCATATACTACAAAATCTTGTGTTCACGCATGCTTTATGAAAGGGAATGTTCAACCCTGGGACTTGAATGCAATCCTCACAGAGATTTTTCTGAGAATGCTTCTGTCTAGGTTTTCTATGGACATATTCCGTTTCCAACGAAATCCTCTAAGCTATCCAAATATCGACTTGCAGACTCTACAAAAAGAGTGTTTCAAAACTGCTCTATCAAAAGAAAGACTCAAATCTGTTAGTTGAGAACACACATTCCAAGGAAGTTTTGGAGAGTGCTTCCGTCTAGTTTTTATGCGAAGATATTTCCTATTTCACCATAGGCCTCAAAGCGATCTAAATGTCCATCTCCAGATACTACAAAAAGAGTGTTTCAAAGCTGCTCTATGAAAGGGAATGTACAACTCTCTGACTTCAATGCAAACATCACAAAGGAGTTTCTGCGAAGGCTTCTGTCTAGATTTTATATGAAGATATTCCCTTTTCCAAGGAAATCCTCAAAGCTATCCAAATATCCACCTGCAGATACTCCAAAAAGTGTGTTTCAAAACTGCTCTATCAAACGAAAGGTTCAACTCTGTTAGTTGAGTAAACACATCACAACGTAGTTTCTGAGAATGCTTCTGTGTATTTTTTGTGGCAAGATATTTCCTTTTTCACCTTACGCCTCAAAGCGATCAAAACGTCCACTTCCAGATACTACAAACAGAGTGCTTCAAAGCTACTCTATGAAAGGGAGTGATCAACTCTGTGACTCGAACGCTAACATCCCAAAGAGGTTTCTGAGAATGCTTGTGTCTCGATATGAAGATTTTCCCGTTTCCAACGAAATCCTCAAAGCTGTCCAAATATCCACATGCAAATTACACAAAAAGAGTGTTTAAAAACTGCTCTATCAAAAGAAAGGTTCAACTCTGGTAGTTGAGCACACACATCACAAACTAGTTCATGAGAATATTTGTGTCTAGTTTTTATGCAAAGATATACCTTTTTCACCGCAGGCCTCAAAGCGATCCAAATGTCCACTTCCAGATTCCACAAAAAGAGTGTTTCAAACCTGCTCTATGAAAAGGAACGTTCAACTCTGTGACTTGAATGCTAACACCCCAAAGACGTTTCTGTGAATGCTTCTGTCTAGATTTTATGTGAAGATATTCCCGTTTCCAACGATATCCTCAAAGCTTTCCAAATATCCACATGCAGATTCTACAAAAAGAGTGTTTCAAAACCGCTCTATGAAAAGAAAGGTTCAGCTCTGTTAGTTAAGCACACACATCACAAACTAGTTTATGAGAATGCTTCTATATAGTTTTTATTCGAAGATATTCCCTTTTTCACCGTAGGCCTCAATGCGATCCAAATGTCCACTTCCAGATTCCACAAAAAGAGTGTTTCAAACCTGCTCCATGATAGGGAATGTTCAACTCTGTGACTTGAATGCAAACATCCCAAAGATGTTTCTGAGGATGCTTCTGTCGAGATTTTATATGAAGATATCCCGTTTCCAACGAAATCCTCAAAGCTGTCCAAATATCCCATTGCAGAGTCTACAAAAAGAGTGTTTCAAGAGTGCTCTCTCAAAAGGAAGGTTCACCCCTGTTAGTTGAGTACACACATCACAATCTGGTTTCTGAGAATGCTTCTGCCTAGTTTATATGGGAAGATATTTCCCTTTTCACAATAGGTCACAAAGCACTCCAAATGTCCAGTTCCATATACTACAAAATCTTGTGTTCACACCTGCTTTATGAAAGGGAATGTTCAACACTGGGACTTGAATGCAATCCTCACAGAGATTTTTCTGAGAATGCTTCTGTCTAGGTTTTGTATGGACATATTCCCGTTTCCAACGAAATCCTCTAAGCTATCCAAATATCCAATTGTAGACTCTACAAAAAGAGTATTTCAAAACTGCTCTATCAAAAGAGAGATTCAACTCTGTTAGTTGAGTACACACATTCCAAGCAAGTTTTGGAGACTGCTTCCGTCTAGTTTTTATGCGAACAGATTTCCTATTTCACCATAGGCCTCAAAGCGATGTAAATGTCCATCTCCAGATACTACAAAAAGAGTGTTTGAAAGCTGCTCTATGAAAGGGAATGTACAACTCTCTGACTTCAATGCAAACATCACAAAGGTGTTTCTGCGAAGGCTTCTGTCTAGATTTTATATGAAGATATTCCCTTTTCCAAGGAAATCCTCAAAGCTATCCAAATATCCACCTGCAGATTCTCCAAAAAGAGTGTTTCAAAACTGCTCTATCAAAAGAAAGGTTCAACTCTGTTAGTTGAGTAAACACATCACAACGTAGTTTCTGAGAATGCTTCTGTGTAGTTTTTGTGGCCAGATATTTCCTTTTTCACCTTACGCCTCAAAGCGATCAAAACGTCCACTTCCAGATATTACAAACAGAGTGCTTCAAAGCTACTCTATGAAAGGGAGTGATCAACTCTGTGACTCGAACGCTAACATCCCAAAGAGGTTTCTGAGAATGCTTGTGTCTCGATTTCATATGAAGATTTTCCCGTTTCCAACAAAATCCTCAAAGCTGTCCAAATATCCACATGCAAATTACACAAAAAGAGTGTTTCAAAACTGCTCTATCAAAAGAAAGGTTCAACTCTGGTAGTTGAACACACACATCACAAACTAGTTTATGAGAATACTTCTGTCTAGTTTTTATGCGAAAATATACCTTCTTCACCGCAGGCCTCAAAGCGATGCAAATGTCCACTTCCAGATTCCACAAAAAGAGTGTTTCAAAACTGCTCTATGAAAAGGAACGTTCAACTATGTGACTTGAATGCTAACACCCCAAAGACGTTTCTGAGAATGCTTCTGTCTAGATTTTAAGTGAAGATATTCCCGTTTCCAAAGAAATCCTCAAAGCTTTCCAAATATCCACATGCAGATTCTACAAAAAGAGTGTTTCAAAACCGCTCTATGAAAAGAAAGGTTCAGCTCTGTTAGTTAAGCACACACATCACAAACTAGTTTATGAGAATGCTTCTGTCTAGATTTTATTCGAAGATATTCCCTTTTTCACCGCAGGCCTCAAAGCGATCCAAATGTCCACTTCCAGATTCCACAAAAAGAGTGTTTCAAACCTGCTCCATGAAAGGGAATGTTCAACTCTGTGACTTGATTGCAAACATCCCAAAGATGTTTCTGAGGATGCTTCTGTCGAGATTTTATATGAAGATATCCTGTTTCCAACGAAATCCTCAAAGCTGTCCAAATATCCCCTTGCAGAGTGTACAAAAAGAGTGTTTCAACAGTGCTCTCTCAAAAGAAAGGTTCCGCTCTGTCAGTTGAGCCCACACATCACAAGCTAGTTTATGAGAATGCTTCTGTCTAGTTTTTATTCGAAGATATTTCCATTTTCACCATAGGCCCCAATGCGATCCAAATGTCCACTTCCAGATTGCACAAAAAGAGTGTCTCAAACCTGCTCCATGAAAGGGAATGTTCAACTCTCTGACTTGAATGCAAATATCCCAAAGATGTTTCTGAGAATGCTTCTGTCTAGATTTCATATTAAGATATTCCCGTTTCCAAAGAAATCCTCAAAGCTATCCAAATATCCCCTTGCAGAGTCTACAAAAAGAGTGTATCAAGAGTGCTCTATCAAAAGAAAGTTTCAAACCTGTTAGTTGAGTATACACATCACAAACTTGTTTCTGAAAATACTTCTACCTAGTTTTTATGGCAAGATATTCCCTTTTGACAATAGGTCACGAAGTACTCCAAATGACCAGTTCCACATACTACAAAATCAGGTTTTCATACCTGCTCTATGAAAGGGAATGTTCAACTCTGGGACTTGAATGCAATCCTCACAGAGATGTTTCTGAAAATTCTTCTGTCTAGTTTGTATATGAACATATTCCCCTTTCCAAGGAAATCCTCAAAGCTATCCCAATATCCACTTGCAGATTTTACAAAAAGAGTGTTTCAAAACTGTCTATCAAAAAAAAGATTCAACTCTGTTAGCTGAGTACACACATTCCAAACAAGTTTTGGAGATTGCTTCCGTCTAGTTTTTATGTGAAGATATTTCCTTTTTCACCATAGGTGTCAAAACGATCTAAATGTCCATTTCCACATACTACAAAAAGAGTGTTTCAGACCTGCTCTATGAAAGGGAATGTACAACTCTCTGACTTCAAGGTAAACATCACAAATTTGCTTCTGAGAATGCTTCTGTCTAGATTTTATATGAAGATAGTCCCGTTTCCAAGAAATCCTCAAAGCTCTCCAAATATCCTCTTGCAGATTCTACAAAAAGAGTGTTTCAAAACTGCTCTATCAAAAGAAATGTTCAACTCTGAAGTTGAGTAAACACATCACAAAGTAGTTTCTGAGAATGCTTCTGTGTAGTTTTTGTGGGAAGATATTTCCTTTTTCACCTTAAGCCTGAAAGCAATCCAAATGTCCACTTCCAGACACTACAAAAAGAGTGTTTCAAACCTGCTCTATGAAAGGGAATGTTCAACTCTGTGACTCGAATGCTAACATCCCAAAGAGATTCCTGAGAATGCTTGTCTCGATTTCATAGGAAGATTTCCAGGTTTCCGACAAAATCCTCAAAGTTGTACAAATATTCACATGCAAATTCTACAAAAAGAGTGTTTCAAAACCGCTCTATCAAAAGAAATGTTGAAATCTGTTAGTTGAGAACACACATCACAAACTAGTTTATGAGAATACTTCTGTATAGTTTTTATGCGAAGATATTCCCTTTTTCACCACACGCCTCAAAGCGATCCAAAAGTCCACTTCCAGATGCAACAAAAAGAGTGTTTCAAACCTGCTCTATGTATGGGAATATTCAACTCTGTGACTTGAAGGCTAATATCCCAAAGATGTTTCCGAGAATGCTTTTGTCTAGATTTTATAGGAAGATATTCCCTTTTCCAAAGAAATCCTCAAAACTTTCCAAATATCCACATGCAGATTCCACAAAAAGAGTGTTTCAAAACTACTCTATGAAAAGAAAGGTTCAGCTCTGTTAGTTGAGCACACACATCACAAACTGCTTTATGAGAATGCTTCTGTCTAGTTTTTATTCGAGGATATTCCCTTTTTCACCATAGGCCCCAATGCGATCCAAATGTCCACTTCCAGATTGCACAAAAAGGGTGTTTTCAACCTGCTCCATGAAAGGGAATGTTCAACTCTGTGACTTGAATGCAAACATCCCAAAGATGTTTCTGAGAATCGTCTGTTTAGATTTTATATGAAGATATTGCCGTTTCCAAGGAAATCCTCAAAGCTATCCAAATATCCACTTGCAGACTCTACAAAAAGAGTGTTTCTAGAGTGCTCTCTCAAAAGAAGGGTTCAACCCTGTTAGTTGAGTACACACATCACAAACTGGTTTCTGAGAATGCTTCTGCCAATTTTTTATGGGAAGATATTTCCTTTTTCACAATAGGACACAAAGCACTCCAAATGTCCAGTTCCACACACTACAAAATCATGATTTCATAACTGCTCTATGAAAGGGAATGTTCAACTCTGGGACTTGAATGCAATCCTCACAGAGATGTTCCTGAGAATGCTTCTGTCTATATTTTATATGAACATATTCCCATTCCCAACGAAATCCTCAAAGCTATACAAAAATATCCACTTGCAGATTCTACAAAAAGAGTGTTTCAAAACTGCTCTATCAAAAGAAAGATTCAACTCTGTTAGTTGAGTACACAGATTCCAAACAAGTTTTGGAGACTGCTTCCATCTATTTTTTTTGCGAAGATATTTCCTTTTTCACCATAAGCCTCAAAGGGATCTAAATGTCCATTTCCAGATACTACAAAAAGAGTGTTTCAAAGCTGCTCTATGAAAGGGAATGTACAACTCTCTGACTTGAATGCAAACATCACAGAGTTGTTTCTGAGAATGCTTCTCTCTAGATTTTATATGAAGATATTATCGTTTCTGAGGAAATCCTCAAAGCTATCAAAATATCCACTTGCAGATTCTATAAAAAGAGTGTTTCAAGAGTGGTCTATCAAAAAAAAGGTTCACCTCTGTTAGTTGAGTAAACACATCACAAAGTAGTTTCTGAGAATACTTCTGTGTAGTTTTTGTGGGAAGATATTTCCTTTTTCACCTTTTGCCTCAAAGCGATCAAAATGTCCACTTCCAGATATACAAAAAGAGTGTTTCAAACCTGCTCTATGAAAGAGAATGTTCAACTCTGCGACTGGAATGCTAACATCCCAAAGAGGTTTCTGAGAATGCTTGTGTGTCCATTTCATATGCAGATTTTCCCGATTCCAACGACATCCTCAATGCTGTCCAAATATCCACATGCAAATTCTACAAAAAAAGTGTTTCAAAACTGCTCTATCAAAAGAAAGGTTCAACTCTGTTAGTTGAGCACACACATCACAACCTAGTTTATGAGAATACTTCTGTCTAGTTTTTATGCGAAGATATTCCCTTTTTCACCACAGGCCTCAAAGCGATCAAAATGTCTACTTCCAGATTCCACAAAAAGAGTGTTTCAAACCTGCTCTATGAAAGGGAATGTTCAACTCTTTGACTTGAATGCTAACACCCCAAAGATGTTTCTGAGAATGCTTCTATCTAGATTTTATAAGAAGATATTCGCGTTTCCAACGAAATCCTCAAAACTTTCCAATATCCACAGGTAGATTCTAAAAAAAGAGTGTTTCAATACTGCTTTATGAAAAGAAACGTTCAGCTCTGTTAGTTGAGCACACACACCACAAACTAGATTATGAGAATGCTTCTCTCTAGTTTTTATTCGAAGATATTCCTTTTTTCACCGCAGGCCTCAATGCGATCCAAATGTCCACGTCCAGTTTCCACAAAAAGAGTTTTGCAAACCTGCTCCATGATAGGGAATGTTCAACTCCTTGACTTGAATGCAAAAATCCCAAAGATGTTTCTGAGAATGCTTCTGTCTAGATTTTATACGAAGATATTCACGTTTCTAACGAAATCCTCAAAGCTATCCAAATACCCCTTGCAGAGTCTACAAAAAGAGTGTTTCAAGAGTCCTCTCTCAGAAGAAATGTTCAACCCTGTTAGTTGTGTACACATATCACAAACTGGTTTCTGAGAATGCTTCTGCCTAGTTTTTATGGGAAGATATTTCCTTTTTCACACTAGGCCACAAAGCACTCCAAATGTCTAGTTCCACATACTACAAAATCATGATTTCATAACTGCTCTATGAAAGGGAATGTTCAACTCTGGGACTTGAATGCAATCCTCACAGAGATGTTCCTGAGAATGCTTCTGTCTATATTTTATATGAACATATTCCCATTCCCAACGAAATCCTCAAAGCTATACAAAAATATCCGCTTGCAGATTCTACAAAAAGAGTGTTTCAAAACTGCTCTATCAAAAGAAAGATTCAACTCTGTTAGTTGAGTACACACATTCCAAACAAGTTTTGGAGACTGCTTCCGTCTATTTTTTATGCGAAGATATTTCGTTTTTCACCATAAGCCTCAAAGGGATCTAAATGTCCATTTCCAGATACTACAAAAAGAGTGTCTCAAACCTGCTCTATGAAAGGGAATGTACAACTCTCTGACTTGAACGCAAACATCACAGAGTTGTTTCTGAGAATGCTTCTCTCTAGATTTTATATGAAGATATTATCGTTTCTGAGGAAATCCTCAAAGCTATCAAAATATCCACTTGCAGATTCTATAAAAAGAGTGTTTCAAGAGTGGTCTATCAAAAAAAAAGGTTCACCTCTGTTAGTTGAGTAAACACATCACAAAGTAGTTTCTGAGAATACTTCTGTGTAGTTTTTGTGGGAAGATATTTCCTTTTTCACCTTTCGCCTCAAAGCGATCAAAATGTCCACTTCCAGATATACAAAAAGAGTGTTTCAAACCTGCTCTATGAAAGAGAATGTTCAACTCTGCGACTGGAATGCTAACATCCCAAAGAGGTTTCTGAGAATGCTTGTGTGTCCATTTCATATGCAGATTTTCCCGATTCCAACGACATCCTCAATGCTGTCCAAATATCCACATGCAAATTCTACAAAAAGAGTGTTTCAAAACTGCTCTATCAAAAGAAAGTTTCGACTCTGTTAGTTGAGCACACACATCACAACCTAGTTTATGAGAATACTTCTGTCTAGTTTTTATGCGAAGATATTCCCTTTTTCACCACAGGCCTCAAAGCGATCAAAATGTCTACTTCCAGATTCCACAAAAAGAGTGTTTCAAACCTGCTCTATGAAAGGGAATGTTCAACTCTTTGACTTGAATGCTAACACCCCAAAGATGTTTCTGAGAATGCTTCTATCTAGATTTTATAAGAAGATATTCGCGTTTCCAACGAAATCCTCAAAGCTTTCCAAATATCCACAGGTAGATTCTAAAAAAAGAGTGTTTCAATACTGCTTTATGAAAAGAAACGTTCAGCTCTGTTAGTTGAGCACACACACCACAAACTAGATTATGAGAATGCTTCTCTCTAGTTTTTATTCGAAGATATTCCTTTTTTCACCACAGGCCTCAATGCGATCTAAATGTCCACGTCCAGTTTCCACAAAAAGAGTTTTGCAAACCTGCTCCATGATAGGGAATGTTCAACTCCTTGACTTGAATGCAAAAATCCCAAAGATGTTTCTGAGAATGCTTCTGTCTAGATTTTATACGAAGATATTCACGTTTCTAACGAAATCCTCAAAGCTATCCAAATACCCCTTGCAGAGTCTACAAAAAGAGTGTTTCAAGAGTCTTCTCTCAGAAGAAATGTTCAACCCTGTTAGTTGTGTACACATATCACAAACTGGTTTCTGAGAATGCTTCTGCCTAGTTTTTATGGGAAGATATTTCCTTTTTCACACTAGGCCACAAAGCACTCCAAATGTCTAGTTCCACATACTACAAAATCATGATTTCATAACTGCTCTATGAAAGGGAATGTTCAACTCTGGGACTTGAATGCAATCCTCACAGAGATGTTTCTGAGAATGCTTCTGCCTAGGTTTTATAAGAACTTATTCCCGTTTCCAACCTAATCCTCAAAGCTATCCAAATATCCACTTGCAGATTCCACAAAAAGAGTGTTTCAAAACTGCTCTATCAAAGGAAAATCCAAATCGGTTAGTTGAGTACACACATTCCCAATAAGTTTGGGTGACTGCTTCCGTCTAGTTTTTATGTAAAGATATTTCCTTTTTCACCATAGGCCTCAAAGCGATCTAAATGTCCATTTCCAGATACTACAAAAATAGTGTTTCAAAGCTGTTCTATGAAAGGGAATGTAGAACTCTCTGACTTCAATGCAGACATCACAAAGGTGTTTCTGAGAATGCTTTTATCTAGATTTTATATGAGGATATTCCCATTTCCAAGGAAATCCTCAAAGCTATCAAAATATCCACTTGCAGATTCTATAAAAAGAGTGTTTCAAAACTGGTCTATCAAAAGAAAGGTTCTACTCCGTTAGTTGAGTAAACACATAACTAAGTAGTTTCTGAGAATGCTTCTGTGTAGTTTTTGTGGGAAGATATTTCCTTTTTCACCTTACTCCTCAAAGCGATCAAAATGTCCACTTCCAGATATGACAAAAAGAGTGTTTCAAACCTGCTCTATGAAAGGGAGTGATCAACTCTGCGACACGAATGCTAACATCCCAAAGAGGTTTCTGAGAATGCTTGTGTCTCTATTTCATATGAAGATTTTCCCGTTTCTAATGAAATCCTCGAAGCTATCTAAATATCCACATGCAGATTCTACAAAAAGTGTGTTTCAAATCTGCTCTATCAAAAGAAAGTTCACCTCTGTTTGTTGAGTTCACACATCACAAACAAGTTTATGAGAATGCTTCTGTCTAGTTTTTATGCGATGATATTCCCTTTTTCACCATAGGCCTCAAAGTGATCAAAATGTCCACTTCCAGATACTACAAAAAGAGTGTTTCATACCTGTTCTATGAAAGGGAATGATCAACTCTGTCATTAGAATGCTAACATCCCAAAGATGTGTCTGAGAATACTTCTCTCTAGTTTTTATGCGAAGATATTCCCTTTTTTCACCATAGGCCTCAAAGCGATCAAAATGTCCACTTCCAGATTCCACAAAAATAGTGTTTCAAACCTGCTCTATGAAAGTGAATGTTCCACTCTGTGACTTGAATGCTAACACCCCAAGGATGTTTCTGTGAATGCTTCTGTCTAGATTTTATATAGAGATATTCCCCTTTGCAACGAAATCCTCAAAGCTATCCAAATCCACATGCAGATTCTACAAAAAGAGTGTTTCAAAACTGCTCTATCAAACGAAATGTTCAGCTCTGTTAGTTGAGCACACACATCGCAAGGTAGTTTATGAGAGTACTTCTGTCTAGTTTTTGTGGGAAGATATTTCCTTTTTCACATTAGGCCACAAAGCGCTCCAAATGTCCAATTCCACATACTACAAATTCATTGTTTAAAACCTGCTCTATGAAAGGGAATATTTAACCTGTGACTTGAATGCAATCCTCACAGAGATGTTTCTGAGAATGCTTCTGTCTAGATTTTATATGAACATATCCCCTTTCCCAAAGAAATCCTCAAAGCTATCCAAATATCCACTTTCAGATTCTACAAAAAAAGTGTTTCAAACTGCTCTATCAAAAGAAAGGTTCAACTGTGTTAGTTGAGTAAACATATCACAAAGTTATTTCTGAGAATGTTTCTGTCTAGTTTTTATACGAAGATATTTCCTTTTTCACCATAGGTCTCAAAACGATGAAAATGTCCACTTGCAGATACTATAAAAAGAATGTTTCAAACCTGCTCTATGAAAGGGAATGTTCAACTCTTTGACTAGAATGCTAACATCCCAAAGATGTTTCTGAGAATGCTTGTGTCTTGATTTGATATGAAGATATTCCTGTTTCCAACGAAATCCTCAAATCTATCCAAATATCCACATGCAGATTCTAGAAAAAGAGTGTTTCAAAACTGCTCTATCAAAAGAAAGGCTCAACTCTGTTAGTTAAGTACACACATTCCAAGCAAGTTTAGGAGAATGCTTCCGTCTACTTTTTATGTGAAGATATCTCCTTGTTCACAATTAGGCCTCCATGTGATCCAAATATCCACTTCCAGATTCCACAAAAAGAATGTTTCAAACCTGCTCTATGAAAGGGAATGTTCAACTCTATTACTTGAATGCAAACATCCCAAAGATGTTTCTGAGAATGCTTCTGTGTAGATTTTGTATGAAGATATTCCAGTTTCCAATGAAATCCTCAAAGCTATCCAAATATCCCTTGCAGATTCTACAAAAAGATTGTTTCAAATCTGCTCTATCTTTTTTTTTATTATTAAAGGTATTTTTTTTTAATTATACTTTAAGTTTTAGGGTACATGTGCACATTGTGCAGGTTAGTTACATATGTATACATGTGCCATGCTGGTGTGCTGCACCCACTAACGTGTCATCTAGCATTAGGTATATCTCCCAATGCTATCCCTCCCCCCACTCCCCACCACAGTCCCCAGAGTGTGATATTCCCCTTCCTGTGTCCATGCGATCTCATTGTTCAATTCCCACCTATGAGTGAGAATATGCGGTGTTTGGTTTTTTGTTCTTGCGATAGTTTACTGAGAATGATGGTTTCCAATTTCATCCATGTCCCTACAAAGGACATGAACTCATCATTTTTTATGGCTGCATAGTATTCCATGGTGTATATGTGCCACATTTTCTTAATCCAGTCTATCATTGTTGGATATTTGGGTTGGTTCCAAGTCTTTGCTATTGTGAATAATGCCGCAATAAACATACTTGTGCATGTGTCTTTATAGCAGCATGAATCTGCTCTATCAAAAGAAAGGTTCAACTTTGGTAGTTCAGTAAACACATCACAAACTAGTTTCTGAGAATCCTTCCGCGTAGTTTTTAATGGAAGATATTTCCTTTTTCACCACAGGCCACCACTGGCTCCACATGTCCAGTTCCACAAACTACAAAATCAGTTTTTTCAAACCTGCTTCTTGAAAGGGAATGTTTAACTCTGTGACTTGAATGCAAACATCGCCGAGATGTTTCTGAGAATGCTTCTGTCTAGATTTTGTATGAAGATATTTCCTTTTCCAATGAAATCCTCAAAGCTATGCAAATATCCACTTGCAGATTCAACAAAAAGAGTCTTTCAATGCTGCTCTATCAAAAGAAAGGTTCAACTCTTTTATTTGTGTACACACATCACAAACTATTTTCTGAGAATGGTTCTGTCTAGTTTTTTTGGGAAGATATTTCCTTTTTCACCGTAGACCAAAAATGGCTCAACATGTCCGGTTGCAGATAATACAAAATCAGTGTTTCAAACCTGCTGTATGAAAGGGAATGTTCACCTCTGTGACTTGAATGCAAACATCACAGAGATGTTTCTGAGACTGCCTCTGTCTGTATTTTATATGAAGATATTCCCGTTTCCAAAGAAAATCCACAAATCTATCCAAATATGCTCTTGCAGATTCTACAAAAAGAGTGTTTCAAAACTGGTCTATCCAAAGAAATTTTCAACTCTGTTAGTTGTGTACACACATCACAACAAGTTTCTGAGAATGCTTCTGTGTAGCTTTTATGGGAAAATATTTCCTTTTTCACCATAAGAATAAAGCGATCAAATTGTGAGTTCCAGATACTACAAAAAGAGTATTTCAAACCTGCTCTATGAAAGGGAATGTTCAACTCTGGGACTTGAATTCAAACATCACACAGATGTTTCTGAGAATGCTTCTGTCTAGATTTTATATGAAGATATTCCCGTTTCCAACGAAATCCTCAAAGGTATCCAAATATCCTCTTGCAGATTCTACAAAAACGATGTTGCTAAAATGCTCTATCAAAAGAAAGGTTCAACTCTGTGAGTTGAGTACACACATCACAAACTAGTTTCTGATAATGCTTCTGTCTATTTTTTATGGGAAGATATTTCCTTTTTCACCATATGCCACAAAGCGATCCAAATGTTCTGTTGCAGATACTACAAAATCAGTGTTTCGAACCTGCTCTATGAAAAGGAATGTTCAACTCTGTGACTTGAATGCAAACATCACACAGATGTTTCTGATAATGCTTCTGTCTAGATTTTATATGAGGATATTCCCGTTTCTTAAGAAATCCTCCAACTATGCAAATATCCGTTGGAATCATCATCGAATTGAACCAAACCAAGTCATCATCAAATGGAATCGAATGGAATCATCTTTGAATGTAATCAAAAGGAATCATCATCGAATAGAATAGAATGGATTCATCGAATGGAATAGAATGGAATCATCATTGAAAGAAATCGAAGGGAATCATCGAATGGAATCAAACGGAATCATCGAATGGAATCAAATGGAATAACCATCAAATGGAATCAAATGGAATCATCAAATAGACTCGAATGGTATAATCGAATGGACTTGAATGGAATCATCAAATGGAATCGAATGGAATAATCGATTAGACTCGAATGGAATCATCATCAAATGGAATTGGATGGAATCTATGAAGGGACTAGAATGGACATGAATGGACATGAATGGAATCATCTAATGTACATGAATGGAATCAGCATCAAATGGACACAAATTGAATCATCGAATAGAATCAAAAGGAATCATCGTGGAATGGATTTGAATGGAATCATCATCTAATGGAAATGAATGGAATCATCATCGAAAGAAAATTGAATGGAACCATAGTTGATTGGAATCGAATGGAATCATCAATGAATGTAGTCGAATGCAGTCATCGAATGGAGTCCGTTGGAATCGTCATCGAATGGAACTGAATGCAGTCATCATCGAATGGTATCAAATGGTATCATGAAATGGACTCGATGGAATCATCATTGCATGGAATCAAATGGAATCCTCTAATGGACTCGAATGGAATTATCTTTGAGTAGAATTGAATGGAATAATTGAATGCACTCAAATGGAATCATGATTGAATGGAATCAAAAGGAATCAAGGAATCATCCAATGGACTTGAATGGAATCATTGAATGTACTCAAGTGGAATCATCATCGAATGGAATCGAATGTAATCAAATGGAATAATCGACTGGACTTGAATGGAATCATTGAATGTACTCGAATGGAATCATCACCGAATGGAATCAAATTTAATCATTGAATGGACCCGAATGGAAACACCATCAAATGTAAACAAATGGAATCATCAAATGGAATCGAATGGAACCATCATTGAATGGAATCGAATGGAATCGTCATTGAATGGAATCGAATGGAATAATCATGGAATGGAATCTAATGGAATCATCATCAAATGGAAATGAATGGAATCATAAACGAATGGAATCAAATGGAGAAATCGAATGGAATCCGTTGGAATCATCATCAGATGGAACCGAATGCAGTCATAATCAAATGGAATCGAATGGAATCATCAAATGGATTAGAATGGAATCATCATCTAATGGACTCGAATGGAATCATCATCGAATGGAATCAAACAGAATCATCAAATGGACTCGAATGGAATCATCGTTGAATGGAATCAAATGGAAACATCGAATGGCATTGAATGGAATCATGATCAAATGGAATCTAATGGAATCATCGAATGGCATCGAATGGAATCATCGAATGGACTTGAATGCAATCATCATGGAATGGAATCGAATGGAATAATCAAATGGACTCGAATGGAATCATCATCGAATGAAGTCGGATGCAATCATCATTGAACAGAATCAAATGGAATCACCGAATGGAATCAAATGAAATGAACATCGAATGGAATCGAAGGGAATTATCAAATGGGATTGAACAGAGTCATTGAATGGAATCATGTGGAATCATCGAATGGATTTGACTGGAATCATCATCGAATAGAATCGAATGGAATCATCGAATGGAATCAAATGAAATCATCATCGGATGGAATTGAATGAAATCATCACTGAATGGAATCGAATGGAGTCATTGCACAGAATCAGATGGAATCATTGATTGGAATCGAATAGAAGCATCGAACGATATCGAATGGAATCATCAATGAACGGAATTGAATGGACTCATCATTGCATGGACTCGAATGGAATCATCGTGAAATGGAATCGAATGGAAACATGATCGAATTGAATCAAATGGAATCATCATGGAATTGAATTGAATGGCTAATCATCGAATGGGATCGAATGGAAACATCATCGAATGGAATCAAATGGAATTGTCATCGAATGGAATCGAATGGAACCATTGAATTAAATCGGATGGAATAACGATTTAATGGAGTCAAATGGAATTATTGAATGGACTCGAATGGAATCATCAAATGGAATCTAGGGGAATCATCATTGAATGGAATCATCAAATGGACTAAAATGGAATCACTGAATTGACTCGAATGAAATCATTGAATGGACTTTAATGGAATCATCATCAAATGGAATCGAATGGAATCCTCGAATAGAATCAAATGGAAACATCAAATGGAATTGAACGGAATCATCATTGAATGGAATCGAATGGAATCTTCGAATGGAATCGAATGGAATCATCGAATGGAATTGAAGGCAATCATCATCGAATGGAATCAAATGGAATCATCGAACGGAATCCAAGGGAATCATCCTCAAGTGCAATTGAGTGGAATCTTTGAATGGAATCGATTGGAATCATTGTCGAATGGAATTGAATGGAATCAATGAATGGAATTGAATGGAATCACCAATGAATGTTCTCGAATGGAATCATCATCGAATGGAATCATCGAATGGACTCGAATGGAATCATCTTCGAATGGAACCTAATGGAATCATCATCAAATGGAACTGAAAGGAGTCATCATCGAATGGAATCACATGGAATCATCATCGAATGAAATCGAATGCAATCATCATCAAATGGAATCGAATGGAATCATCAATGAATGGAATCGAATGGAGTCATCGAATGAATTGAATGGAATCATTGAATGGCCTCAAATGGAATCATTATCAAATGGAATCGAATGGAATCACCAAATAGAATCGAATGGAATAATCATCAAATGGACTCGAATGGAATCAACATCAAATGGAATCAAATGGAATTATCGAATGGAATTGAAGAGAATCATCAAATGGACTCGATTGGAATCATCGAATGGAATGGAATGGAATGGAATAATCCATGGACTCGAATGCAATCATCATCAAATGGAATCGAATGGAATCATCAAATGGACTCGAATGGAATAGTCATCGAATGGAATCAAATGGAATCATCATCGGATGGAAACGAATGGAATCATCATCAAATGGAATCGAATAGAATTATGGAATGAAATCAAATGTGATCTTCATTGAATGGACTCGAATGGAATCATCATCCAATGGAAACTAATGGAATCAACATCGAATGGAATAGAATGGAAACACCTTCGAATTGAAACGAATGGAATTATCATGAAATAGAAATGGATGGACTCATCATCGAATGGAATCGAATGGAATCATTGAATGGAATTGATTGGAATTATCATCAAATGGAATCGAATGGAATCATTGAATGGAATCGAATGGAATCATCTTTGGATGGAAACGAATGGAATCATCATAGAATGGAATCAAATGGATTCATTGAATGGAATCAGATGGAATCATCGAATGGACTTGAATGGAATCATCGAATGGACCCGAATGGAATCATTATTGAATGGAATTGAATGGAATCATCGAATGGTCTCGAATGGAATCGAATTTAATCATCGAATGGAATCGAATGGAATCATCATCAAATGGAATCGAATGGAAACATCATCGAATAGAATCAAATGGGATCATTGAATGAAACAGAATGGAATCATTATCAAAACGAATCAAAATAAAACAAAGAATGGAATCCAACGGAATCATCGAATGGAATCAAATGGAATCATCGAATGGAATCAAATGGAATCATCATTGAATGGACTTGAATGGAGTCATCATCTAATGGAATCAAATGGAATCATTTAATGGACTCGAATGGAATCATTGAATGGACTCGAATGGAATCATCGAATGGAATCTAATGTAATCATCATCAAATGAAATCAAATGGAATCATTGAATGGAATCGCATGGAATCAGCTTCGAATGGAATCGAATGAAATCATGGAATGCACTCGAATGGAATCATCGAATGGACTCAAATGGAATCAACATTGAGTGGAATCGAAAGAAAACATTAAATGGAGTTGAATGGAATAATCAAATGGAATCATCATCGAATGTAATAGAATGGAATCATCAAATGGACCCAAAAGGAATCATCATCGAATGTAATCAAATGGAATCATCGAATGGAATCCAATGGAATCATCATTGAATGGAATCGAATGGAATCATCATCAAATGGAATCGAATCGAATCATCATCGAATGGAATTGAATGGAATCATCATGAAATGGAATCGAATGGAATCATCAATGAATGGAATCGAATGGAGTCATCAAATGGAGTCCGTTAGAATCATGGAACCAAATGCAGTCATCATCTAACGGAATCAAATGAAATCATCGAATGGACTCGATGGAATCTTCATTGCATGGAATCGAATGGAATCATCGAATGGACTCAAATGGAATTATCATCGAATGGAATCGAATGGAATCATCGATTGGACACAAATGGAATCACCATTGAATGGAATCGAATGGAATCTTCGAATGGAATCGAATGAAATTATTGAATGGAATCGAATAGAATCATCATTGAATAGAATCAAATTGGATCATCATCAAATGGAGTCTAATGAAATCATCATTGAATGGAATCTAGTGGAGTCATCATCTAATGGAATGGAATGGAATCAGCAAGGAATGGAATCTAATGGAGAAATCGAATGGAATCCATTGGAATCATCATCAAATGGAACCGAATGCAGTCATCATAGAACGGAATCAAATGAAATCAACAAAGGGACTCGAATTGTGTCCTCATTGAATGGAATCAGATGGAATCATCGAATGGACTCGAATGGAATCATCGAATGGACTCGAATGGAAACATCGTCGTATGGAATTGAATGGAATCCTCGAATGGACTCTAATGGAATCATCATCGAATGGAATCGAATGGAATTGAATTGAATCATTGAATGGACTCTAATGGAATCATCGTCGAATGGAATCGAATGGAATCATCAAATGGACTCGAATGGAATCATTGAATGGACTCGAATGGAATCATCATCGAATGGAATTGAGTGGAATCCTCTAATGGAATCAAATGGAATCATCAAATGGAATTGAAGAGATTTATAAGAAACTTACTTGAACCAAAATTAGAAAAACAAACAAACCAAAAGCCCCTAAAACTGTGATGAGCAAAGTAGACATCAGAACAGGAAATATCACTGGGGATGAAGAATAACATTTCAAAATGACAAAGGGGAAAATACATCAAGAAGTCATGTAAATAAGAAATATGTATGCACACAATAGCATTACTTCAAAATACATAATATAAAACCTATTAAAACTGAAAGGTAAAATAGTAAAACCACAGTCATCCATGGGGATTTCAACAGTCTCCTGCCATAAATATTTAAATTTTGTTAAACGAAAAGTTGGTAAGCGTAGAGAGGATCTTAAAAATATAATTAGCCAACTTGATCTAATTGAATCTTTTAGAATAATCTAAGGATGAGGAATGAGGTAGCAGAGAAAGAAAAGGCAGACATCAACGTGACGTTAGTGTTTCAAGGTTATGAGAATACACCAATGATGGTGTGTGTGTGTGTGTGTGCAGATGGTAAGCTCAATCTTAAAAATATTGAGTTTTAACTGACAATTCATTAGGAAAGATAAGAGGAAATGATATCTACTGAGAGGCTATATGACTGAGCTCTAAGAGAAAGGTCACAGCAGAAATTGTGTACTTGACAGCTCTATAAGGAGGTCAGTCAAAAATAAGTCAGTGATGAATTCTCTGGTGTAAAAGCAGATGAATGAGGATTAGATTTAAAACACATGGAAGCAGAGTGACTGATGATGAAAACATGAGCTTGAAAATCCTGCAGTGAGGGCTTTAAATCCTGGGTATGATATTCTGCTTGTGTAGGCAATAGTGGTAAAAACACAACAACAAAGAGGGGTAAAGAGCACTTTCCTTAGATATAAGTAAAGGGCACGTCTTATTGCATATATATATATAGGTATTCAACTGAGATTCAACATGTTTCTCTCATTGAAACATCAAGCTCTCCAGGCCTTCATGCTCCCAGTGAGGTAGGTAAACTTCTGATGATTATACTCACCCTCCCTCATTGCAAAGCTCCCATTGTTATTGTCTTGGCTCTGGATTCCCTCATAAATAGACTATGAAACAAATATTTGGGGTCAAATTCTTTAATCAGAAATTGAGTGAGAAAGCGCAGAAGTGGAGAAAATGAAACAGAACATGAAGCCAGTGTGAATGAGTAGTTACTGCTATGTGCTCAGTAATGATGGAGGTATGGAGATTGTCTCAAAATAACTTTACAAAGAGATGGGGATGGTGGAATCCCCATCTCTTATTGCTTAAGGATTGCCTTAGAATCATTAACTCTCCACCCCTAACTCCTTCCTTGTTCCTATGTGTGGTTGAGAAGCACTGGTTAGCCTCAAGAAGCTTGCAGGCAAGCCCAAAAATCAGAAAGACAGGCATGATGTGGGGAGCTCTCAGTTAGCTGGAAACAGGTGAATTTCAGGTGAACACATTGAGTCCAGGACATAGAAGACAAGTCATCAGCAATATCTGCTATAGCCAGTTTTCTTTTTCTTTTTAAGAATATATATACTTTTTATTGGGGTTTCCCAAGTCCCCCTTTGGTTTAATGATTCACATAACTCAAGAAAGCTGATTTTTCTTTTGTGGTTATAGTTTCTAACAGTGAAAGAAACCAGATTAAAATAATCAGAAGCATAAAAGCACATAAAATTGAGTCCAGGACAAACCAGATGTGAGCTTACAGGTGTCCTTTCATAGTGGAGACTTCACACTGACTAATTTTCTTTACAATGGTGTGAGACAACATGTGTGAACTTGTTGCCAACTAGGGAAGCTCAGTCAGTCTTGAGTCCAGGGTTTTTATTAGGATTCCACCACATACGCATCGAGCGTCCTGTGACTGAACTTAGCTATTTAGTTCCCAACCTCCCTATGCCCTAAGAGAGGTCATATTAATATGGCATTACACAAAGTCATAGGCATACAGAAACAGGTGCTCACAAGAAATCACGTTGTTACCATCAGTTATTTGGTATGACCTACGTTTTCAGGTATACAAAGACTCTCATCAGGCAGCATATACCAAGGGCTCATAGGTTATCATCTCCCAGGAGCTTGTCAAGGGCCAGTCCTGAAGACCTTTGGAATGTGCAAGGTTTTGGAAAGCCATCTCTGCAGAATTAACCCTTCATTACACAACTACCAATAATTGTTTTTATCTTTAAAAATGTTTTTTGATCTTTGACAGTGTACCAACCAATACTGAGTAATTAGTAACAACAGTGTACTCCTGAGTACTTGCACCTGCAAGGAGAAAAAGGACAGATACACTTACATAGGACAGATGCAAATAGACACCACTATGACAAGTAAAGCTGGAATAATCAATAAATTCCTAAAGACAAAGTGGGGCTGGTCAGATTGGGAGACCGCTGACAGCTGCAGAAGTTGGGAAAGATCCATCATCTTGAAAACGTTTTCCCCACAAACCCACTGTGATGTCTCAGGCAATTGGTAAGGAATCCAAGAGAGTCTGTATATGATACAGGTCAGGGAGAGCAGAACACTTGGGAGGTGACCAGGTCTTGGGGGCCGAGCCCTTATGAATCGGATTAGTGCCTTTATAAAAGAAGCTCAATGGAGTTCTTGTGTGCCTTCCACTGTGTGAGGACATAGAAAGAAGGCACCATCTATGAACCATGAAATGGGCTCTCATCAACACTGAATTTGGGAGCATCTTGACCTGAGATCTTACAGCCTCAAGAAGTGTGAAAAAAGAAATATCTGTTGTTTTTTAGTCACCCAGCTTATGTTATTTTGTCATAAGAGTCCAAATAGACCGAGATATTCCACTTAATATGTAGGGGAAGGCAACAAAAACTGCCACACTTAGAATACTCCTGATACTGGGAGTATGAAAACAGGAAAAACAAAACAAAACTGCTCTTGAAGGTGAAGGAGGAATATCACTGAGCTCACCAACACAGCCAGGAAAAGAACAGAAGTGTGAGAAGGCTACATTCCTGAGACCCTGAGAAAAAGTACCTGCATAAGACTGAGATGAAATTACCTACTCTAGTTATGATTGAAATCCCAAAAAGAAAAGAGGGAAAAATAATGGAGCAAAAGAAATATATTTCAAAATAACTGCCAAAAATATTCTAAAAGAAGTGACAGAAAATCAAACTTCAGATAAAGGAAACTCAGAGAATGTCAAATAGAACAAAAAGAAATAAGAATTCCATCTTGAAAAATCTTTAAAAAATCAAGTCTAAATATTATATCTTGCTCCAAATATATAGAGATATAAATAGGTTATCATCAAGATATGGAGAAAGCCGTATCATGGAGACACTAAAATAAAGCTGTGGAAGGACTACATTGATACTAGACACAACAGAGTTCAGAACAAGAAATAGTATCAGAGATGAGAGATAATAAATAATATAATAATCAATTCTCAAGATGTAAACATCCTACTAATTAGGGTACGCAGCTAATAACAGAACCTCCAAATACATGAGGTAAAACAGGAAAGAAATCAAAGGCGAACTAGAAAAATCCAAAATTATATTTGCACACTTCAACACTTTTGTCTTAGTAATGGACAGACTAGGCACCAACTCAGTAATCATATGGAAGATAAGAACAACAATATCACCAACAAGACATCCAATCTTCAATGTCAGATACTCTTTCCTTTCAAGTGAAAAAAAAAATAGTATGGCATATTCTCTAACAAACCCAGAATTTATAATATTTGCGTTCTTCCTTCCTTCTTTCCATCTTCCTTTCTCCTCTTCCCTTGCCTTCTTCCTTCCTTTCTTCTTTTCCGCTTTCTTTTCCTTTCATTTTTCTCCTTCCTTCCTTCTTTCCTTCCCCTTATTCTTCCTTCCCTCCTCCCTCCCTTGCTTTCTCCCTCCCTTTTCTTCCTTCTTTTCTCTTACTCTTTCTCACTTTCTTTCCTTTTTCTCCCTTCCTCCCTCCCTTTTTTCCTTTTTCTCCCTTCCTCCCTCCCTTTTTTCCTTCCTCCCTCCCTTCCTTTCCTTTTTGCTTCCTTCCTCCTTTCTATTTTTTTGTTTGCCTTCCTCCATTTTACCGTTCTCCTTTCCTCCTTTCCTTCCTCTTTCCTTCTTTTCTCACTTTCTTTCTTTTTCTTTCTTGAGTTCTTGCTTTGTTTTTTCTCCTTTCCTGCCTTTCTCCCTTCCTCCCTCCCTTCTCTCATTTCCTCCTTTTCTTTCTTCTTTCCTTCCTTCCTTCTTTTTTCTTTCTTTTCTTTCTCTTTACTACAATTCATATTATTTAAAAAAAATTAAGAAAGAGAGGCAGAAAAATAAAGAACACTTTAATCTGCAGGTAAATAGATTATGTCTGTTGTAGACAAAATAATGGCCTCCCAGAAATGTTCATGTCTTAATTCCCAGAGTCTAACATACAAATATGTTAGGTTGCATGGCAGTGGGAAATTAGATTTCAAGTGAAATTAAGGTTCCAAAGGCAGCGGGGGCAAAAGGCCACGGCGGCAAAAAGGCGCGGCGGCAGGGGCAAAAAGCCATGGTGGCGGTTGGAGAAAGATGCAGCGGTGGGGGCAAAAAGCCGCGCTGAGGGGGGTAAAAAGCCGCTGAGGTGAAGGCAAAAAGGAGCGGGAGTGGGGGCAAAAAAAACACAAAAAGCCGCGGAGGCTGGGGGAAAAAGCCACGGTGGCAGGGGGCAAAAAAGCTGCAGCGACGGGGGTGAAAACCTGCAAAAAGCCAAGGCGGTGGGGGCAAAAAGCCTCGGTGGCGGAGGTGAAAAACCGCGGTGGCGGGGACAAAAAGCTGTGGCGGTGGCGGTTAAAAAAAAAGCCGCGGCGGCAAAAACCCACGGCGGCAGGGTCAAAAACCCGCGGTGGTGGGGGAAAAAACAGCGGTGGCATAAATCCGCGGAAGCGGGGACAAATAGCCCCAGTGGCGGGTGCAAAAAGCCGCAGCGGTGAGTGCAAAAAGCCGTGGCTTCAGGGGCAAAAAGCTGCAGGGGCAAAAAGCCATAGTGGCAGGGGCAAAAAGCCGTGGCGGCAGGGGGCAAAAAGCCGCAAAAAGCAGCGGTGGTGGGAACAAACACCGCGGCGGCAAAAAGCCTCAGCGGCGGGGGCGAAAAGCCACAAAAAGCCGCGGTGGCGAGGGTAAAAAGCTGTGGCTTCAGGGGCAAAAAGCCACAGTGGCAAAAAACCGTAGCGGTGGGGCAAAAAGCTGCGGCGGTGGGGGCAAAAAGCAGCAGGAGCGGGGCCAAAAAAATCACAAAAACCTGCTTAGAAGGGGGAAAAATTCACGGGGGAAAAAAGCCGCCCTGGCGGGGTGCAAAAAGCCGCAAAAAGCAGCGGCGGTAGGGGCAAAAAGCGCGGCGGCAAAAAGCCTCAGTGGCAGGAGCCAAAAGCCACGGTGGTGGGGGCAAAAAGCCGCGGCTGAAAAAGCCGTGGTGGTGGGCTCAAAAAGCCTCGGTGGTGGGGATAAAAAGCTGTGACTGCAAAAAGCCACGGCGGAGGGCCCAAAAAGCCATGGCGATGGGGATAAAAAGCCACAGTGGGGACAAAAAGCCACCGTGGCGGATAGTAAAATGCCGCAAAAAGCCGCGGCGGCAAGGGCAAAAAGCTGTGGCTTCAGGGGCAAAAAGCTGTAGCGGTGGGGCAAAAAGCCGCAGCAGCGAGGGCAAAAAGCTGTGGCTTCAGGGGCAAAAAGCCATAGCGGCGGGGCAAAAAGCCGCGGCAGCGGCGGGGGTGGAAAAACCACAAAAACCCGCAGCAACGGGGGGAAATAGCTGAGGGGGCAAAAAGCCCCGGCGGCGGGGGGAATAAAGCCGCAAAAAGCAGCAGCGGTGGGGGCAAAAACCACGGCGGCAAAAAGCCTCAGCGGCAGGAGCAAAAAGCCACGGCAGTGGGGGCAAAAACTGCGGTGGCAAAAAGCCTCAGCAGCAGGAACAAAAAGCCACGGCTGCGGGCACAAAAAGCCGCGGCTGCAAAAAGCCACGGTGGTGGGCCCAAAAAGCCACGGCGGTGGGGATAAAAAGCCGCAGCTGCAAAAAGCAGCAGCAGTGGGGATAAAAAGCAGTGGCGGCAAAAACCCACGGCGGCAGGGGCATAAAGCCGTGGTGGCGCAGGCAAAAAGCCACGGTGGCGAGGGCAAAAAGCTGTGGCTTCGGGCGCAAAAAACCAAGGCGGCAAAAAGCCGTAGTTGTGGGGCAAAAAGCCGCAGCGGTGGGGGCAAAAAGCAGTGGGAGCGGGTGCAAAAAACCCACAAAAACCCGCGGTGACGGGGGGGATAAGCCGCGGGGGCAAAAAGCCGCAGCGGCGGGGTGGGGCAAAAAGCCGCGGTGGTAGGGGGGCAAAAAGCCCCAAAAAGCAGCAGCGGCGGGGGCAAAAACCGCGGCGGCAAAAAGCCTCAGCAGCAGGAGCAAAAAGCCATGGCGGCGGCGGCAAAAAGCCGTGTCAGCAAAAAGCCACGGGGGCAAAAACCCGTGGCGACAGGGGCAAAAAGCTGTGGCTTCAGAGGCAAAGAGCCACAGCAGCAAAAAGCCATATTGGCGGGGGCAAAAAGCCGCAAAAAGCCACAGCACCAAGGGCAAAAAGCCGTGGCTTCAGGGGCAAAGAGCTGCAGTGGCAAAAAGCCGCAAAAAGCCATGGTGACGGGGGGCAAAATTCCACGGCGGTGGGGGTAAGAAGCCACGGCGGCAGGGGCAAAATCTGTGGCGGGAGAAACCCGCAGCGGCGGGGGCAAAAAGCCGTGGCAGTGGTGATGAAAAGCCACAATGGCGGGGGCAGAAAGCCGCGAGGCGGGGGAAAAAGCCGCAGTCGCGGGGGCAAAAAGGCACGGCGGCGGGCGCAAAAAGCCACAAAAAGCTCCGGTGGTGGGTCAAAGAGCCGCAAAAAGCCCCAGCGTTGGGAGCAAAAAGCCGCGGCGGCGGTGGCAAAAAGCAGCAGAGGCAAAAACCCGCGGCAGTGGCGGCAAAAAGCCTCGGTGGCAGGGGCACAATAGTGGAAATGGAGTAGAAGGCCAACAGAGCTAGGCATTCCTGGACTGTGATGTGGAAGGAAAAGTGCAGCGGAAGACAAAGATGTAAGTAGGCTTGACTCAGTGCAGCTAAGAACTCAGATGTGAACTTGATGTTATCTATCAGCTAATTTTTTGTATTTTAGTAGAGAAGGGGTTTTACCACGTTGGCCAGGATTGTCTGGATCTCCTGACCTCATGATCCACGCACCTCAGCCTCCCAAAGTGATGGGATTAAAGGCATGAGCCACAAAGGGCTCAAAAAATCTATTAATTAAAAAATGTGTATGTAGCCGTCTTCATTCTACCATGTCCATTAGCAGATAAATACTACAAGCAAAATAACAACAATGAAATAAACATAGACTTAGAGTAGATACTCTGATTTATTTAATAAAAATTTGAAAGTAGACCAAATTACTCTATGTTAAAAAAAAATCTGTTACTATTGAGGATGAGGGTTAGTGTTTGGAAAGGGACAGGAGAAATATCACTATTTTTAGTAATGTTCTATTTTCGTACATGGCTATAAGCAAATACATGTGTTTCATTAATCAAGCTATCATATTTAATCATTGTACTTTTCTGCATGTATATGTCAATAAAATGTCTTAAATTATATACAGCAAAAATAGACAAAACCACAACAAGACATACATGAATGTTAAACCTAGAGAGAAATTTGAATATAAGTAAGTCTCTGAATGACTGCTAGAACAAACCAAAAAATAATCAGGATGGAGAGCTTTGGAACAGCATGACTAGCAAAATTGACATATCTGTCTTTTAATATAGGCAGAAACATAGTTAGATAAAAAAAGGACTTGTCTCAGAGTATGATTTCTGAAAATAGTGGAATCGAGTTTGAATCTAGTAAGTACATATAAATAAATGTCTTAAAACTCCTCTTATGTTAGCTAATTAAGAAATATTATTGTAATAGATATTAGAAAATATTTTAATAAATTGAGTGGATTTCACACGCTAAGGAAATGATCTTACTTGCATTTGATAGTTCAATTAGATACATATATACCTATAGGTAGTTTAAAATATTTCTAATAACCTTATATACTTTTAAAAAGCATTGATATCTGTTTGCACTATCTGTTCTATAGAGTACACATACCAAAAATGATTATAGCTCTTCTGCTATAAACTTCAAATGTCTAATTAATACAAAAATCTAGAATGAGAAGAGTTCTTTGCATTTTTTTTTTTTTACCAAATAGAATATAGGAAGGATAGCTGCAAATATACCTGACACACTTATCTGTGAGTATGGTGGTAGCCTTTTTATTTTACTTTTTTTATTTTTGAGAGAGGGTCTCACTTTGTCACCCAAGATGTAGTGCAGTCATATGATTAGAGCTCACTGAAGCCTTCACATACTGTGCTCAAGCGATTCTCCCACCTCAGCCTCCTGAGTAGCAGGGACTGCAGGTGCATGACACCATACTAGCTAATTTTTGTGAAGATGGGGTTTCACCATGTTGCCCTGGCTGATCTCCAACTCCTGGACTCAAGAGATCTGGCCACCTTGGCCTCCCAAAGTGCTGGGATTATAGTTTTGAGGCACCGCGATCAGCCCAGCCTTTAAAAAGTCTGACTAGAAATCTTTATCTATGTATATCTATATCTATCTATAAAAAATGTGTTTATTATATAAAAATATATATTATTAATATTATATAAAATTTTTTTTTCAAGGTAGAAATATATAAAGAGGGTGCATGTAGAGCCTGGGTCATTGTGTAGTGAAGCTCAAAGCCTCTGAAGAAATGCCCCTTGCCTCTTTTGTCTGGGCTAGAATCCAAGAAGGGAAAGCAGAAGATGCACTGGTTCCCAGGTTCTTGACATAATACAGAGAGAAACTTGTTTGAGCTAGGGTAGCGTTAAACACCCTTGTTCTTACTCTCCTGTTTTATGTAGTGAGTGGAGACTAGCTTCATGAGAACAGACTGTGACAGCCAAGGCTGTCTGATATTTTGTGCAGCATTAATTGAGAAATTCTAGCACCTGAAGACCTCTGGGCCATTTGAGGGTAGGTGCAGGGGAGGAAAGGGAAGTTTGCATCCCTCCTGCTGTGGAGAGAACCCGTGGGAAGCACAGACCTTGTCCTAACTGAAGGCAGACCACTTTGCTAACCAGCTTCTCATCAGCCAACCCTGGATGAGTTTCCATGTCTATTTACTAAATAATCCTTATTGCTTTTCTTCATATGGGCAAAGTATGGTTTACAGGGAATATTGTTCCTTTGAACACCCATTGTGCAAACTCCTCCCTGTTGTGGGAAAACAGGCTTCCATATGTGTCTTATTGGGAAACACATAGGCAATTTCTATATTTTTACTGCATCTATTTCAGGGATAAGGGAACTGAATAGTGCCCATCAAAGGCTCACCTGATGTTGGAAATTGATATGAGAGCGCGGAAGGACAGAATTCTTTCTTTGTTTCTGGGCAGCGTGGTTGAGGGATCATTTTATGGCAGCTACAGTGGCAATGATGGAGGCAGAACGGAGGGCTCAGTACCAAGACGAGGAGAGACTTGGCCTCACAATGGCAGCATTGCATTGGTGCGCTCTACAGAGCATTTGCTCACATGGTTTTGGGAATTGTCTCTAACTACATTGCTTCCCCAATAGGTTGACCCATTCTAAATAACTCCTTTTCTCTTTAAAACAGAAAACTTCATTTGTATGACTTGCAATTGTAAATGACACCAATTGGCCAGTTATCATTCAAATTCTCTGTTACTTAATCCTGCCTTTTCCTAACGTATGCAACTTTCCCCTAAAAAATTGGACACTTTGTTGCTTACTCATTGTCTTTACACATTTTAAAATGTTGCTTGATGCCCCCAATCCCTACTACATTTTCGATGTTTTGCAAGTGGAGTCCATGTGTTCTTGATTTACATGAAGCTCAAAATAATGGTTATAGTAACTAGTACTTCATAATTAAGCAAAAAGCTCTTATTGAAAAATGACAGAACTATACATTGAGATGACAACATGGAGAGATATTTCCTGAGATCACAAAGTTATGGTATGGCAGAACTAGAACGTTGAGTAGAGACTCTGTTCCCAATCTTTATTTCTACCACCAGCTTTCTATTTTGATGTTAATAATGTTCTTATGTGGGAAACCCTACATATTTGCCAATGTTTAGTTCATTGACAAAGAAATAGAAAGAGATTCAAGAACACTCTAATCTTTAAGAAATAAAATATCAATAATTGGCCATACGAAAAAATTGATACTTGACATATACTGAGATCGTTTTATTTTGTGCTAGACAAATGAAGTCATATAACAGAATGTGCTTTAAATATTATGAATAGTGCTTGCGTGTGTGTGTGTGTGTGTGTGTGTGTTTATACATGCGTATTAGGCCGCTGAAAAGTTTTACTGTTCTTTCCAGGAGAGAGACTGCCAACTTTTGAACCTAATTAGAACAAGTATATTGCTTCTTCATATTTTTATTAAGGCAAAGAGAGTCTAGTTAAAAATAATTCAACTTATCATGGAAATGCTGTAAATTGCTGTGAAGTGAGTTGCTGGCTATCGCTTGTCAGAACAAATATATTGTACAAATCTTAGGGGAGAATTAGTGCTTATGCATTCAAATGAAATCATCTTGGAGCACACTGAGAAAAAGTTTAGATTTTTAAAATAATTTCGAAGTCATGAAAAGAGCATATATGCTCAACAAAGAGCCTAGCAACCCTCAATTACCAATTCCCCTTTTATATAGTTTGGTATCTGAATTAGAATCTCAGAATCTACAAATTCCTCTGGGTATGGGTGCTGCATTCTGAGGATTTTATAATACTGTCATCACCAAGCTCTCTTTTGATATTCACTTTAAGGAGATAATTTACGGGCAACCAGAGAGCATAAACCAAAGTAGATATCTATCTAGATAGATACATCTCCATATCATTGACAGGATACCTTCTGGCCGAGTGTGAGTACAACCTATGGGTGTGGTTGGAGAGAACATGTGTTCCACCTGAATGGCAGATCAAGATTATTCCTTCTTATCTGCTGCAATGGCTCAATGTGTTAAGGAGAGGAGCGAGACAGCAAGAACTACATTCATTCAGTCATACAGACCAAAAGGAGGAATGTCGCCCAGCCCTCTAAACTGACCCAGAACCCAGCTCATGTCTCAACTGCTACCTCTACTACTTAGAAAGAAGTAACTCCGCCAAAGCAGGGTTCTGGACAAATATATTTTTATTGATCTTATACAAATAGATGAAGATGGACTTGGATGTTAAGAAAAATAATACTATACAAAATCAAGAGTAGACAGTTGCCCCTAGACTTAAATTAAAAGTGTGTGCATTAGATAATTTAATCCAATGTATCAGGTAAAAACATGAACAAACCTTTTGGCCTCTTCCATAAAATTCAGGGAAGCATGTCCTCCACAAAACAGAATCAAAATATAAATGAAAGACTGGCTTAAGATGAAAGGAAACCTTATAAATGAAAAGAAGCCAGATGAGAGGCGCTTAACTGAGAATGAAAAAAAAACTGAGTGGACAAAATAATTATGAGAAGATGAATCTTCAAATCAGAAAGAGGGAAAAAAGCTCATTTGATACTATGGTTACTCAAAAGAGAGTGAACACAAATGTGAAAATTCCAAGAGTACAGAAAAGTAGCATAACTAAATTAAGAGCATGAGAAAATGTATACAATTCTGAGTAATAAGAACAGAAATCAAAAGTTAGTATTGTATGTTATATTTTAGTAGAGCAACACTGAAGACGAATGAAAACAAGAAATAATATTAAATATGAACATATGGATAACAGAATAATATTTTTAAAATTTTTAGTTTCTAAGTTTACCTGAAATTTTAATTTTTGTTTCTTATGTAATACCAGAGTTATTAGGAAAGTATTAGCTAATAACACTACTTTCAGTGATATATTAAGTATTTGCCCTAGAAAAATTTCTATTTTTTAAAAATGTATATTTAAAAATACATTAAGTGTGTACATACATCAATCATATGTATCGATTTCTGTTTTTTTTTGAATTGCAAATGAAATTTGTATTTTTGTGTTCCTGGAATAAAATAAACTTGAATGGATTGTAATATATTATTCATGCTGTAATTTAATGTATTTGAATTCTTTAAGAATGTTACATTTATAGTTAACAGATATTGACCTATAAATTTTCTTTCCTATAATGATGCTGTGAGACAATCTAAGAAGAATTAAAATTTAAATTCATGTATTCCTACTTTTTCCTCTGTTCTCTAACTGTAATATATTTTAATTACAGATGGAGGAACAGATAGCTGTTAGATAAATAGGTATATAATAGATAGATCATCCAAAATTCTTATTCTTATGGTTTTATGTAGTCAGTATTTACCTCTATTTTTCTACATGTTTATCCTTCCAATTTAGTTCATTACTTCCTGCACCTTTGATGTCATATACATAAACAGAAAATAACACATGGTGGCCGGGATGTAGAGAGAGCCACAGGACTTGTGAATAAAATCCACAGACAAGGATGTGGCGATTCGTTTTGCAGTATTGGAGGGAATGCCAAACGCTATGTTTGCTGTGGAAAAGAGTATGGTAGTTCCTCAAAACATCAAAATGGTATTGCCATATGATTCAGCAGCACCACATCTCAGGATAGTAAAAGAATTGAAAGCAGACTCTTGAAAAAATATTTGCACATCCATGTTTGCAGCAACGTTATTGGCAATAGCTAAAACTTAGAAGCAATTGAAGTGTCCAACTACAGATGAATGGATAAGCACAATATGATATATGCATACAATGGAATATTATTCAGCCTTAAACATGAGGGAAATATTCTGACGTATGTTGCAACTTGGATGAAACTTGAGGATGTTATGCCAAGTGAAATAAGTTAGTCAGTGAAGGACAAATACAGTATAATTCCATTTGTATTAAAGTGGTCAGAATCATAGAGATGGTACAATGATGGTTGGCAGAAGCTGGGGGGAGGAAGAAATGGGGAAGTATTGTTTAATTGTTATAGAGTTTCAGTTTTACAAGATGAAACGAATTATGGAGATGGATGGTAGGGACGGCTGCCAAATGTTATGACTATATTTAGTACCACTAAACTGTACACTTAAAATGGTTAACAGAGTACATTTTATGTTATGTGTATTTTACCACAATTAAAAAAAAATACCTTAGGAACATTTTCATGAAAAAGCCCACATAAAATTCATTTTAATGCACGTGTTTATGCATAGCTTTCTATTTTTCTCTTTTCTCTTTATATTCCAAATTCTAATCAGAGAAGGGAATCCCCTCTTTACCTCCAGGATATTCAGTAAAGACCACTGGAGGTTCATGCCCTAGTGACAGTGCTCATTTAGCTCCAAATTACAGATGGCTCTAGACTAACTCCACAAAGTTTAAAGAGAAGATTTAAAACAACAACAGACAAATACTCATCCTGAAGTTACTGAACTGCCTGCCACAACATTGTTCAAAGGTAGCCAATAAAATCTAGATATTCAATAGCATAACATCAAAATACCCACAAAAAAATCTCTGACATGCAAATAAGCCGTAAGATATATATAATTAAGATATATATTAACAGGATAAAAATAAGTCATTTATAAATGACAGAAAAGAAGGAAATTTCAAGGTCCTTAAAGAAAATATATTTTATAAATACATATAGATAAATACATATATATGTCAAGGTACTTAAATGAAAATTGAACATAGGAGAAAAATAGAAGTTATAAAATGAAAAATGGGGCATGTATAGATGAAAAATAAATATTTAAAATAAAAATTCCATGAGATTGAATAAGTAATGGATTTTACCCTAACATCAGAAAATTTATAGAAAAAAATAGAAGCTTTACAAACTAAAGGACAAAGGATAAACTAAAATAAGAAAGCCAGAAACTCACTGATACGTCAAACAATATGCAGCAGTGTAACATACATGTAATTAATATCTCAAAAAGGATGGGTGGGGGAATTACAGGTGAATAAAGAATGGTACACTCATTCCTGAGGGCACCGAGGAGGGAGGATAGATTTAGATTTCTAAGGGAGGGTATTATCCATTCATGAAGGTCCAACCCCATGACCAAACACCTCCCAGTAAGCCCCACCTGCAACATTGGGGATCAAATTTTAACATGAGATTGGAAGGGGCAAGCATTCAAACCACAGCAAGAGTTAAACTTCCTTTTTAAAAAAAATCACTGATATGATTCCATTTCGCCATAGATAAAAGCTAGTATTTCAGCCTACCATTGAGTGTGCTTATAGCTCACCAAAAGGGCACTCTGTCTCGAGAATAGATTTGCTTAGAGGTATCCTAGTGCAGCCAAAGAAAGAGCAATGAGGGATAGAAAAGGTTAGTGATGGAGACACCAGCGCTGCATTTTGCAACAAACAATGTAAAAATTTTACGGATTGGTTCAGCTAACTTACTACAGTTTACATTCCTCTCAGGTGGGAGAATTGTTGCGTTTTTTCTCAATATAGAAAAACAATTCAGATAATCTGAAATCTCCACAAGAAGGATAAGAAGCACAGCAGAAACTATTCTAGGCAGGAAGTCAATCCTTTCAACAGTCTGTGCTCCATAGAAACAATTGTCTGTACTGGGAGTCATATGAGGTACAGACAACAGCCAGACCTCTGATCTTCTCATTAGTGATTTCAGAAGAAATTACCAGTCAACTGAGTAATTCACTGAGTAAAGTAAACATTTGACACTGAAAGAGGATAGACGGATAACTATTTGTATCACCATATTCATGAGGCTGGAATATTTTCCATTACTGGTATCACATCCGAATGGAAGATGTTAAAAAGTCTCTCATCTTGTAAGATGGATATGAAAGAACATTTTCTGAGAAATGAAATTATTAACACACCTGCGAGGTGGATGGAAGAGAAAAAAAGAATAATCATCTTGAGTTCTTCTCCTTGATAAGACAACTCACTAAAAACATAAAGAGAAAAATACAAGTTTAAAATAATTAACCAGAAGAAGACGACTCTACAGTTTTTAAATCGCTGATAAGATTTTAATTTGCTCCAAGTTGAAAATAATTATACTGCTTGTGTTTTAAGGCACGTAATGAGCAATTATATCACACATGATAGTTTCAGCAGTAAAATATCCGTTAACAGCTGGAACTCATAAAAGCATAGCACAATGTGAAGATGGAATTTGCTAAAATAAACCATCTGCCGAAAACTACTATTCTGCACATTTAAAAATAAAGTTTAAATGTTATTTGTCTTATTTAATAGGTCTGTGAAAAAATGCGCTATTTGAAAAGTAGGTGCTACCTTAATTAATTCTTTATATTAGACGGCTGGTTACAGTAATGCACAGTAAGGTGCTACATAGATATATTGCTAAATTTTCTGCATATACTATGTATTTGGCTTAAATTATTTGAAATTTTATAGTTAAAATAACAAATGTATATTTAAATTTTTTGACACAAATTGCAAATATACCTTTAAAAAGCGTCTTACACTCTAAATATTATTTGTCACCTATATATTTGTCTTTTCTCTATAGGAAAGTTTAAATTTTTCCCTTGAAGCTTTAATTATTTGAGTCTATAAAACAAACTGATAATGTACAAATTAACAGGAAAAAAAGGTTTACAGATATGTGCACAAGTATGCACTTGGAGTTTACATAATATATATAAATATATCTATACAATATTTGTATATTATAAATAGATATACAAATATATACTATATATATAAAAACTCCAGGAAAGGCAAGGTAGTCAACACGCCTATGCTGTCTTGAGGTTACAGAAAACACAGAGCTGTAGGTTGGTAAATCAGGCTTTGGGGAAGACAGGTGACGACAAGGAAGAAAGAGGAGCCTGGCAGCAGAGGTGGTCTTGTTACATGGATGAAACCTCAAAGGGAGCAGCCCTCCTCTTGGGAAGTATAGATAGGAAATGGTTTTTAGAAATGTAAACGTGCCAGGCTCAGTTAATCTTTCCTAAACCCAGACAAGGGAGTATCTCAGGGAAAGCCTGTCTATATCAATGCAGATTTTCTCTACAAAAGCAAATCTACCCAACAAACACAGCTTTTCAGCTATTCTTGTAGAAGATGCTATCTCCAGTCTTCCGAGTAGCCATCTTGAAATATGTCAAAAAGCTGCCCAGGCGCACGCCTGTAATCCCAGCAGTTTGGGAGCCTGAAGTGGGTAGATCACCTGAAGTCAGGAGTTGGAGACCAGACTGACCAACATGGTGAAACCCCGTCTCTACTAAATACAAAAATTAGCCCATTGTGGTGGCGCATGCCTGTAATCTCAGCTACTTGGGAGGCTGAGCTAGGAGAATTACTTGACCCTGGGAGGCTGAGGTTGCAGTGAGCCAAGATTGTGCCATTGCACTCTAGCCTGGGCAATAAAAGCAAAACTCCATCTCAAAAAAAAATACATTTTAGGGTAATATTTTGAGTATCTTTACCTCCACATGTACAATAAATATTATTGTGATTTTTAATCTTTTCTGTGGAGAAAACACATGTGTGATTGCTAGTGTAGCTGAACATCGTTTATTTGACAATATTGCACTTGTGTGTGGGTGTGTGTCTGTGTAGCTACTCTTTAATTTTGTTCTCACATAATGATTAGATATTAACAATTCATTCAGTAAAATGTATGTTTTGCAATATTTCTCCATGTTATTATGCTTTAAATTAGTTTAATCATGCCCCTATAATGTGTACATTTTAACCTTTGACTATAGGTCTCAATCTTACTTTGGTTCCTGTATTTGAATTTATGCTAATAAAGTCTTACAGCTAAAAAAGATGATATAAACTAATCTACATTTTTACTAGTATTCTGGTGTCATTTTAAATTATGTAATGAAATCAAATTTTAACTTGGATTATTGTTACCTGAGTTAAGGATCTAAATTTTTAATTTTATTATAAATATTACATAATTATTTCTGAACCATATGTTGACTATTCTGCCCTTTATATGATGTGCATTATAAGAGCTTGGGATTGTTTTATTTGCAAAGATGAATGCTTGAGAAGTAGATATTTAATCATAACATTTCAAAATCTACTGGATAACCTAGAATTGAAAAATAGCCTATAGGTTGAAAAACTCCTGTAGTGAAGAAAGAAAATAACTAATATACAGTGACAATATAAATATTATAAGTATTTATTTTATTATCACCCTGAAATTTGATAATACAAAAATGTAATATCTACACATCATCCATATATCAGGTCATAAAAAATCAATACATTCTTCAAAAATTTAGCATAACAGAAAATGCACTCTCTCTCCTTGATGGAATTAAGTTACCAATAAAAATAAAAATAAGTAGATAAGTAGATGGAAGTAGATGTTTAAAAACAAAGAAAAATATTTGTTTTGGATAACATAAAATCTCAATTGACAATTCCAATATTTCCAGAACTTTGCCTGTCAACTGGTGGAGAGTTTTCCCCAGGAGACATTTGTCAATGTCTAGGGTTATTGTGGGGATGTCAAGACTGGTGGAGGTGTGAAATGTAGAGGTCAAACGAAACACCTAGCATTGCTAGGGCAGCCTCCCACAACAAAGAATCCTCTGGTCCTAAAGGTAAGTAGCACCAAGGCTGAGAAACCATAATCTAGACAGTAAACACTACGTAGCTATTCCAAATGCTCAGGAAAACACATCAGTGCCCTCGAGGGGAAAAGTGTGAACATTTTAATTGCCGTACATGGTGACACAAATCCATGTTGTTAATCTAAGTGGAAGGGGCTGAAGCACAAAACGTAATTCAAAGAGTTTACTTGATCCACAATGAGGACAGATGCCTGGAAGAAACAGACCCAAGTATCCTTGGATATGAACTCCCTTTGGAGCTTTGCAACAAGCAGTTTCTTAAAGGCAAAAAAGGGTCCAGAAGTGGGATGATCCAAAGAGGTTTGTCACAAATTCTCATTGGCTTATGGAAATAACATTTATTAGTGACTGGCTATACGCTGTTACACTATTATTGGGTGTGTATTATAGTGTCTGGAGTGGCGTTATTGGTTAATTTATAGCTACTGTGGCAACAGCAAGCAGCCTAGATGAACACACAGCTCAAAGAGGAGCAGGACAGAACTGCCGTCTCATTTGAATATCTCTCTGGGCCTGATTATTTAAAAGGACTTGCATTTCTCACATGAAAGTTATTTTCTTTTCTCAATGTCCATAAATGAGAATAAATAGACGTAAAATAGATCTTTTCGAGGATGAAGTAAATGGAATGAAAAACAAAACCCAAGCTGACCAGAAATCATAGAGGGAAGAAAAGGTTATAAATATATGGATTTTTCAAAGTGATTTTAAGCTATTAGGAATCAGTTAAATGTTGGGGGATTTTGTCTGAGAATGAGCTAAAGGAGAATGTCCCTTTTGCCTTCTGAAGTTTCCCTGAAAATCACTAATAGGAGGCAGATACATAGTAGAAAAGGCATACAGGTTTCTGCAATGTGTGTACACTGGAGCCCTTAGAACGAAGACCCAGACACACGATGTGTGCAGAAGCTTATCTACCATATGAAGTTTACAGAAAGAATGGGGTCTTGGATCACAGGGAAAAAAAACAAGGTTACGTGAGAAAACGACCCTGGCTAGCAACAGTGGGCTTATTACACAGGTGGAATCTCACTGGGAGCAGTCCTCAGAGAGAATAGAGAAAAAATGTTTCTTTCAGACCTTTGGAGACCTCAGACTCTCAGTTAACCTTTCCTAGATCCAGATAAGGGGGCAGACCTCAGAGAAAGCCTGGCTGCATCAAGGCAGATTCTCTACCGATGCAAAGCTCCCCAAGACAGCTTTGCAGCTAAGTTTGCATTTCCAGCCCTTCTCAATAGCCATTTTGAAATATATCAAGGAAATATATTTAGGGGTAAAATATATTAGTTTCCCTCATACAGCTATAAAATATACAGGAATAATTTTTGTCAATGTCTACTACAAATCCAATATAGCAGTAATTATAAAACTCACCAGATATTGAAGAAAAAATATATAGAGTACATCAATTACGAATGTTGATACTAAAATGCCAAATAAAATAAAAATAATATCCAACAATATTTGAAACAGTAAGACAAGAAATTGGCAAAAAAAAAAAAAAAAAAACAACAAATATCCACCTTGGGGATGAAAGTGTGTTTCCAAATTTGGTAATCCAATAATATTAACAATCATATTGATTAGCCCAAATTAAAAATAAATAGGGGATTCTCAGTACATGCTAAAATATATTTGTTAAAAGGCAATATTCATGTCTTTAAAGATTTTAAATGCTATAAAGAGTCTGATATTCTATATGCAAACGTGTATGTTCATTAGAAGAATAGAGGCCTGATTTTCATATGTTACTACTTAGAGATAGAGAAGTGGATAGATTAATTTGCATATGCAAAGAGAAAGCATAAAATAGAAATTTACTATCATATTAAAGGAATTTTAATTCAACAATAAAATAATTCAAAGGTAAAATTTTAAATATTTTTAACAGGTACATTATTAATATTAGATAATATTTATAATAATTGTGAAAATATTCAATGCTAAAATAAGATACAATGTCTAAACATCAGTATTAAAACTAGTATAAATATTTGCTTGTTTATACAAGGAAAATTCAAGCTCGACCTAAAATTATATAGGAAATAAAAGAAAAATTTTAAGGGAGCTCTTTAATAACATAAACATATATATATATATATATATATAGACACACACATATAACATGTATATATGTTATATGGGATAGATATAGATTTAACATGTTATATCTATATTTGTATCTATAACTACAGCTGTATGTATCTACATTTCTATATATACACTCAGTAATATAAATATAGACGAATAAATATAAAGACACATATGATTCGTGGATAAAAAGGATTTAGTACCATAAAGACAAATTCTTTCCAAATTCACTTATGAATTCACAATATACAGTTTCATTAGTATAATTTAAAATTTTTAAATAATTTCCAAGATTCATTTAAAGGAATATACATGTACACAAGCAGTCAAGAAAGAAGCAAGAGTGCACTAAACTAACTTGCTATTAAAATACATTTTTAAACATAGTAACTAAAACTGAGCAGTACTGATTTGGAGTACTGGAATTTAGGTATATGGGATCTCAAAAGCGCAGAGCTCAAAGGAGACCCCTGTATGCACGGGAGATTAGGATGTGCTTTAGAAGGCATTACCAAACCACGGGCAAAGTTACTTTAGTGTCTTAGTCTTACTAGGTTTGAAAAGCCACAGAAAAGACTCAAGACCACCATATAGGAACAAAACAAAAGGACAGGGAGAGAATGTGAAGATACTGAAACATTTTACATAAAGTTGTATAAAACATCCTTTAAAGAAAATATAAAGTTTAGGATATACATCAAAATCAGCAGAGCCACTAAATAAATAAATAGGCATTGTAAAATAGCAAGAGAAAATTTAAATGGGTTTCTAAAAAATATTGACACCTATGATTTTTAAAATATGTTTAAGAAATCCCGTATTTTACAGGGCAGCCTTTCACAACGCAGATATGTTAGGACATAAAGGTCCTTCTGTTTTTAATTTACTAGTGTTTATAGGGTTACAAATGTCTTCTACCCTTGTCTTTTGTCTGATGGTGCAAAAAATTTTCATAAGCATGTATTTCTGAATGCCTGATGGATTGACATATATAATATGCTGCTAGTATTAAAATATGTGACGGAAAAGGCATCCAATCTTCTCACTGTTTACATAAATTCTAGGTTTCTCCTATTTACCTCAAGCACGTATGGAGCGAATTCTTACCTTTTAATATTGCCATGGCATTCACATTGAACATAAGTTGAACTCTCTCATATGGTAGCTGGGTTCAGATTCCCTTGACAATTTCCAGTTCTAACCCTCACAGTTCCTCAGTGTGGCTGGCCCAGATATTGACCCTACACAGTTGCCTCCCTCCTGGTGACTACCAGCTATGGAACCGTTGGATACAACCTACCTGACTCACCCCACAGACCTCACAGCGCACATGGACAGCCCCCACACGCCAGAGTGACCTGCTCGGTTGCAGCGGGAGTCAAGAAATGTGCCTGCTGGCACTCACCCCACCGACTAGTGCCCCGTGGAAAACTTATTTGGGTAATGTTCTGGGCCCAATAAAAGCTAGAGTCCCACAGACCCCTTTTCTCTCTCCTGCTCCCCACTCATCTTCCCCATTTTGTTCAGCCCTATGAGGTGTGCTACTGTATTAGTCCATTTTCACACCACCGGTAAAGACATGCCCAAGACTGGGTAATTTCTAGAAGAAAGAGGTTTAATACATGCACAGTTCCACATGGCTGGGTAGGCCTCACAATCATGGCGCAAGGTGAAAGGCACGTCTCACATGGCAGCAGACAAGACAAGAGAGCTTGTGCAGGGAAACTCCTCTTTATAAAACCATCAGATCTTGTGAGACTTATTCACTATCAGAAGAACAGCATGGGAAATACCTGCCCCCATGATTCAATTACCTCCCACCTGTTCCCTCCCACAACATGTGGGAATTCAAGATGAGATTTGGCTGGGGACACAGCTAAACCCTCTCCTCAGCTACCCTCTTCTCTCTGGATCTGTGAGTAATAAACCTACTTCTGTGATTTCCCATGTTTGGTTCTGTGGCCTCCATGTGTCTGAGCTGACCTACACTGGAACCTAACTCTCCTCCTGGCCAGGGTCTCTGAGAGTGGCTCTTGTCAGAAATACACAGGACACAGGTCAGGCAACAGTCACCAGGCATCTCCTAGTCTCAACAGATGTTCTGTGAGAGGGAGGCCTGGTCGTGGGATGCACACCTGGCCACTGCTGGGGTAAGGAAGTGTCCTGTGAAAGGCACATGTTAAGCATCCACAACCCCCTGACCAGAACCCCAGAAAGGCAGGGCTCCAATTGATGGTCACTCTCCAGAGACAAACCTCAAGCCCTAACTGGAGGAAAAGAAAACAATGTAAAAGTTGAATTTATCTTACTATTTCAATGATCCAGTAAAGACATTCTATGCCTGTACACCACATATTTTCTTCGATTGTGGATTTATTTTAGATAGAATTGTAGGTCTGGCTTTCACTTTAGCCTGGTCCCTACCTCAAGCATAAGGTAAAGATTTTCCATGGGTTCTTTTCTGGTACTACTACCTGCCAGTGTGGGGTCATGTCCTAGTCTATCTTGAGGGAATCCCCCTGTTCATTATTGTCAGAGTGAGACTGTTAAGTCTTGATTTCCCTGGACAACTTCACTGCATGACTTTTAATATGATTTTTTAATATACCCTTTACTGGACAATAAATTATATAGTTATCTGAGTAAGAGATATGGTCAGGAAGAGGCATTGCCTCATTCACCTTTTCTCTTTGGTGAACTCGCATATGTTCTCCTCACCCGCCAGTCACCTCTAAACCGTATTGTTCCAAGACAACAAACAGAACTCGAGTGTGTATCTTTCACCACTGGATTTGTGTTTGCTCCATAAAGCTTCGTGCTTAATAGGGTTTCTGTTAGCATTTTCTCTATTTATTTTCCCATAAAATATCACAGGCCTTCTTCATATGGAATTATGGGTGATTTCCTTCAATCTGCATCATATCAAGTTGAGGTTCATGTTGATGAAAAGTAAAACATACGTTGAAAATATCAGTAAGGATGTTTTCCCCTCCTTTTTAGCACCTGTGCTTGTGATACAAGCACATTTTAATACAATTGTAGTCTCATGCTTTGATCATTCCTATGATGAAAATAACATTTTTAGATAAAATATCTGAGTTTTATGAGGCCTTTAGTATGTGAAGTGATAGAATATCAGAAGACCATACTTTTTTCTAGTTTTCCGTGCAATTCTATCACTGTTTCATCTTTACTCCTACCAGAGTAATTTTCCAAAATAGATATCTTGTCATTCTTCCTGTTGTTATCAGTAAATAAGTGAAATGAAAAGCTAGATTATATAATTTATCTAGAACAAGAAAGTAGAATTGAATCTATATTCATTAATGAGACTAACCAGTCAATTACACAGATAGGCATTTTACATTTTGAAGATCATATGGACCCATTGTCAGAAATATTATTATTTATGTCTATATGGACATCACCTGTGCATATTTACATAGAAATCAATGAGAGCTGATTTTTATTTTTATTATATATATTTTTTGAGATAGGGTCTTGCTTTGTTGCCCAGGCTGGAGTGCAGTGGTGCAATCACTGCTCACTGCAGCCTCAGCCTCCCAAGCTCAAGCAATCCTTCCACCTTGGCCTCCCAAATAGCTAGGACAACAGGTGCACATCACCATGCCCACTTTTTTTTTTTTTTTTTAACTTTTGATAGAGACTGGGTCTTTCTATGTTGCCCAGGTTGCTTTTGAACTCCTGGGCTCAAGGAATCCTCTCATTTCAGCCTCTTCAACTGCTGGTATTACAAGCATGTGCCACCATATGGGCTGGAAGCTGATTTTTAAAATACTGAGATCATATAGATGACAGCACCTGAAAAATAGACAACACCAAGCTTTATGTTAAAAGGTGTGAGTGTATCAATATTGTTGTGGCTATTGGGGAGGAAAACATTAGTAAAACCAGTAAGTTAAAGCTCTTGCTTTAAACTTTGGCTTTAATTTAACAAATGTTCTATGGAGTGACAGTATGTATGTAACCATGCTATGCCCATTCACAGATGCAGTAGAGGGAAGAATTTCTCAAAGACAACTGTTCTAAGACTCCAATTAAACCGTACTGGGTTTGAAAAGAGAAAGTCCAGGAATTACCAAATATTTTAGATATCAGATAAAAGAGAATGCCAGGTATGCAATGATAATCAGCAATGGTTGTTCACACAATACATCAAATCAGTATTTGAATTAGCTTTTGAATTACAAGGACAAATGGATCAAGTCTAGACTCTTTAGTAGATAAATCTTATTAGGCTGAGATGTGTTTTCCCCTGTTTTTCCACAAGGAGATTACAAATTTGCAAACCTCAGCTGCTCTCATTTTATGCTCTCACCAAGCCAAAAGCTGAAGTTCATCAATCAGTGTGTCTAAGTGTTCACTGGTTATATACCATTTTGTAGTTTCAGCTATCTTTCCAACTTCCTAAATCATCACCTTCATTTGATCTTGTTTTTTTCCACTATCACTTCTTTATTGACCATATAAAGAATATAAGTGAGTTCTTATTTTGTTATTGTTCATTTTAGTCTAACTTCATCAAAATATCACAATCTTTTAATTTCATTTTAATTTCAAAGATTAAATGAAACCTACATAGAAATGAGTGTAAGATTTGCATTTGCATTATTTTGGCATCAATTTGCTATCCTCCCTCATGCACATAGAGATCATTTCCATGTACGTGATTTCAAACATCCAAGTGCAGTATTAAAAGCAGTTGTAAATTATGGTTCTCATTTTCATGATACAATTACAATATAAACTTCCTCTTGCTGCTGTAACCAATTACCACAAACTTCATATCTTACAATAAAGTGACCGTTAATCCTACAGTTCTGTAGTTCAGAAGACTTGAATGAAACTCACAGGGTTAACATCAAGTTTTGGGCAGGGCTGCAGTCTTTCTGAGGGCTATGTGGCAGAATCTATTACTTGATTTTTTCCAGCATCCAGAGGCCACCTTTATTCCTTGGAACATGACCTCATTCTTATATCCTATTTTTCTTTTCTTTTTTTTTTTTTTTTTTTTGAGATGGAGTCTCCTTCTTTCACCCAGGCTGGAGTGCAGTGGCATGATCTCAGCTCACTGCAACCTCTGCCTCCCGGGTTCAAGTGATTCTTCTGCCTCAGCTTCCTGAGTAGCTTGGACTACAGGCACTTGCCACCATGCCCAGTTAATTTTTTGTATTTTTAGTAGGGATGGGGTTTCACCATGTTACCCAGGATGGTCTCGATCTCCTGACCTCGTGATCCACCCACCCCAGCCTCCCAAAGTGCTGGGATTAGGCGTGAGCCACTGCGCTGGGTCCTCATTCTTGTATCTTAAAAGTCAGTGATGTTGAGTAATTTCTCATGCCACCACCTACAAGGTTGCCTTTCTTCTGTCTTCTTCTTTCACTTATAAGGAAGTTTGTGATTTCATTGATCCCACCCATTTAAGACAATCTCTCTATCATTTTTCCGCAACCTTAATTTCACTTGAAATCTAATTTCACACTGCCGTGCAACCTAACATATTTGTATGTTAGACTCTGGGAATTAGGACATGAAAATTTTTGGGAGGCCATTCTTTTGCCTACAGCAGACATAATCTATTTAACCTGCAGATTAAAGCGTTCTTTATTTTTCTGTCTCCCTGTCTTAATTTTTTTAAAATAATATGAATTGTAGTAAAGAGAAAGAAAGAAAAGAAAACAAAGAAAGAAAAAGAAGGAAGGAAAGGAAGGAAGGAAAGAAAGAAGAAGGAAAAGAAGGAGGAAATGAGGGAAGGAAGGGAGGGAGGGAGGAAGGGAGAAAGGCAGGAAGGGAGAAAAAAGAAAACATGAACACAAGAAAGAAAGAAGGAAGGAAAGAAAGAAAGAAAGAAAGAGAAAGAGAGAAAGAAAGAAAGGAGGAAGGGAGGAAGAAAAGGAGGAAGAGAGAATGGTAAAAGGGAGGAAGGCAAAGAAACAAAGAAAATAAAGAGGCAAAGGAAGGAAGGAAGGAAAAAGAGGAAAGGAAGGGAGGGAGGAAGGAAGAAAAGGAGGGCGGGAGGAAGGGAGAAAAAAGGAAAGAAAGCAAGAACGTGAGAAAGAAAGAATATGAGAAAAGAAGGAAGAAAAGGGAGGGAGAAAGGAAGGGAGGGAGGAGGGAAGGAAGAATAAGAGGAAAGAAAGAAAGAAGGAAAGAAGGAAGGAAGGAGAAAAAAGAAAAAGAAAGAAAGGAAAAGAAAAAAGAAAAGAAAAGGAAGAGGAAAAGAAGAAAGGAAGGAAGAAGGCAAGGGAAGGGAAGAGAAGACAAAGGAAGATGGAAAGAAGGAAGGAAAACCACAAATATTAGAAATTCTGTGTTTGTTAGAGAATATGCCATACTGTTTTTTTTTTTTCACTTGAAAGGAAAGAGTATCTGCCATTGAAGATTGGATGTCTTGTTGGTGATATTGTTGTTCTTATCTTCCACATGATTACTGAGTTTGTGCCTAGTCTTTCCATTACTAAGACGAAAGTGTTGAAGTCTGCAAATATAATTTTGGATTTTTCTAGTTCACCTTTGATTTCTTTCATGTTTTACCTCACGTATTTGGAGGCTCTGTTGTTAGCTGCATACCCTAATTAGTAGGATGTTTACATCTTCTTGAGAATTGATTATTCTATTATCTATTATCTCTCATCTCTGATACTATTTCTTGTTCCGAACTCTGTTGTGTCTAATATCAATGTAGTCCTTCCACAGCCTTATTTTAGTGTTTCCATGATATGGCTTTCTCCATATCTTGATGATAACCTATTTATATCTCTATATATTTGGAGCAAGATATAAAATTTAGACTTGATTTTTTAAAGATTTTTCAAAGATGTTTCAAGATGGAATTCTTATTTCTTTTTGTTCTATTTGACATTCTCTGAGTTTTCTATATCTGAAGTTTGATTTTCTGTCACTTCTTTTAGAATATTTTTGGCAGTTATTTTGAAAAATATTTCTTTTGCTCCACTATTTTTCCCTGTTTTCTTTTTGGGATTTCAATCATAACTAGAGTAGGTAATTTCATCTCTGTCTTATGCAGGTACTTTTTCTCAGGGTCTCAGGAATGTAGCCTTCTCACACTTCTGTTCTTTTCCTGGCTGTGTTGGTGAGCTCAGTGATATTCCTCCTTCACCTTCAAGAGCAGTTTTGTTTTGTTTTTCCTGTTTTCATACTCCCAATCATCAGGAGTATTCTAAGTGTGGCAGTTTTTGTTGCCTTCCCCTACATATTAAGTGGAATATCTTGGTCTATTTGGACTCTTATAACAAAATAACATAAACTGGGTGACTAAAAAACAACAGATATTTCTTTTTTCACACTTCTTGAGGCTGTAAGATCTCAGGTCAAGATGCTCCCAAATTCAGTGTTGATGAGAGCCCATTTCATGGTTCATAGATGGTGCCTTCTTTCTATGTCCTCACACAGTGGAAGGCACACAAGAACTCCATTGAGCTTCTTTTATAAAGGCACTAATCCGATTCATAAGGGCTCGGCCCCCAAGACCTGGTCACCTCCCAAGTGTTCTGCTCTCCCTGATCTGTATCATATACAGACTCTCTTGGATTCCTTACCAATTGCTTGAGAGATCATAGTGGGTTTGTGGAGAAAAAGTTTTCAAGATGATGGATCTTTCCCAACTTTTGCAGCTGTCAGCGGTCTCCCAATCTGACCAGCCCCACTTTGTCTTTAGGAATTTATTGATTATTCCAGCTTTACTTGTCATAGTGGTGTCTATTTGCATCTGTCCTATGTAAGTGCATCTGTCCTCTTTCTCCTTGCAGGTGCTTGTTTTCCCTCACATTTTGACTCAGTTCTTGGCAACCTCGTTGCTATAAAAATAAAGTCATGACTTTGAAGTTAGTTTGGTTCTTTCATTGTTGTCAGGTTAGGAACCCTATTCCATCCCAGATCTCCAAAACCCAGACTTTTTGGGGGGTTGAAATTTTAGGCTTTCTCTTTGAATTGTAGTTTTATCTTCTTTCAGTTACCATTTGCATTTCCATAATGATTAATGAGACTAAGCTTTTTTTGTGTAGTTGACTGTACCTTTGGATTTTTTTCCCAAATACCTTTTTATTTCTTCTTTTCTTTATGGTTTTAGAAAATGTAGTTTACATAATTGCAGCTTGATTTTATACTCAGTTAATGGCATGCTTAATGGAGAGAAAAAATATTATTTTCCTTTTTAATTACTGTGCTTTTTTTCTTTTTTAAGGAAATGTTTCATTATGTTAAATTTCAGTGTTATTCTACTTAGCTATTCCTTAAATATTATAGTATTTCGGATTTCACATGTAAATTTGTAACATATCTTGAGTTTATTATGTATAGAGTAAGGCTATTTTCTCTTTTTTTAGGGTAAAAATCACATAATATAAAATTAATAACAACCATTTTAAAGCATACAATGCACTTGCTTTTAGTATATTCACAATGTTCCAGGGCAATTTCATCATGTCCCTTCCAAAATCCCATTATGCATAAAGTGGTTACACCCTATTCTGCTTCCCTGAGCCCTAATGACCACTAATCTAATTTACATCCCAATTGATTTGCCAATTCCTGATGTTTCATGTGAATAAAATCAAGCAATATTTGTCCTTTTGTGCACTTAACATAATGCTTTCAAATTTCACCAATATTATACCATATATAAGTACTTCATTCTTTGTTATAGCTGAAAATTTGGTGTCCAGTTATGAGTCAACAAGCATATGGATTGTTTCCACTTTTTGACTGTATGAATATTACTGCTGTAAATATTCATGCACATGTTTATTTTTTGAGCACCTATGTTTTGTAAGATTAACAGCTGACTTAAGAGAAACAATGGAAGGCAAGAGGCAGTAGAATAATATATTCAAAAGATGCAAAGGAAAAAAAACTCTCAGCCACGAATTCCTTATCCAGCAATTATTTTTCAAAAATGAAGATAACACAAAGACTTACCCAGATAAACAGAAATATTAGCTGAAGTTGTTGCTGGCAGACCTACCACATTAAAAAAAAAAAAACTCTAAAATAAATTCCTAAGGCTAAAAGCAAGTTACAGAAGACAGTCACTTGAATCCACATTTTTAAAAAAGCACTGGTATAGGTAATATTGACATTATAAAAGACAGTAAAAATGCATTTTTTCTCTTTATCATAAATTGTTTATTAAATAACATGTGTATAATGGCCGGGCACGATGGCTCACACCTGTAATCTCAGCACTTTGGGAGGCCAAGGCGGGCGTATTACGAGGCCAGGAGATCGAGACCATCCTGGCTAACACAGTGAAACCCCATTTCTACTAAAAATACAAAAAAGGAGCCGGGCGTGATGGCGGGCGCCTGTAGTCCCAGCTACTCGGGAGGCTGAAGCAGAAAAATGGCATGAAGCTGGGAAATGGAACTTGCAGTGAGCGGAGATTGTGCCACTGCACTCCAGCCTGGGTGACAGAGGGAGACTCCGTCTCAATGATAATAATAATAATATGTGCATAATGTATTGCTGAGTTTTTGACATGTAGAAATGTAATACGTCTATAACATATTTTCCAGTAACATCAAAAAGGAGGTAGTTGGAAGAAAAATGTATTGTGATAAGGTAATCACTCTAGATGGTAAAGTAATAATTACTAAAATGTATTGTTGGCTTTGTAACTTTAATAGATGTAATGTGTAAAGTGATAATACTTTAAAATGGAGGAAATAAAAGAGATTTATATAAGAATGATGTTTCTATGTATTACTAAAAGTTTACTAGTATAAATTGGAAGATGATTTGAATAATTAATTTTCCATATACCTATATGGTAAACTTACAACAACAACAAACATTCTCAAAAATATATAATAAAATAATTCATTAGTAATCTAAAGTTCCCTATTTTAGAAAATATTCTTTCATTGCAAAATAAAGCAATAAAGAAAAATATTTGAGAAATATATAAAACAAACGGTAAAATGGCAGACATAAATAGAATTATACCCATTATAATCTTAAATGTGAGCAGATTAAAATCCATTCCAGAGGCAGAGATTGTCAGACTGGATTAAAACAAGTGATCCCAATATACGCTGAGATGCAAGGATACTAATGGATTGAAAGTAAAAAGATGACAAAAAAATATCATGCAAAGAGCAATCATAAGAACACTGAACTCATTATACTCATAACACACAATATAGACTATTAAAAATGTGAATAGGATTTTAAAAATTTATATTGTAGTAAAAAGGGGGTCAACGCTTTAGGAAGACATAGCTATTACAATCATGTATGCACAGATATGAGCTAAATTGTTTCCTCTATATAGATGCTGCAATTCCAACCACTGAATATGACCTCATTAGGAAATAGGTTCTTTGCAGCTGATCAAGTTAAGATACAATCAGATGAGCCTGAATTCAGTATGACTGATGTCCTTATTAAAAGAAGAAATTTGAGTAGAGGGAGACATACACACAGGGAGAGTACCATGTGATTATGAGGGCAGAGATTAGCCAAGGAATGCCAAAGACTGCCACTAAACCATCAGAAGTGAGAAACAAGGCATAGAACAGGCTTTCTCTCATAGCCCTGGAAGGGACCATCCCTGCTGACACCTCAATCTCAGACTTTTAGCTTCCAGGACTATAAGACTATAAATGTATGTTGTTCATGGCACCCAGTTTGTGTTACTTGGTTATGGCAGCCCTAGAAAACTAATACATGAACTAATAACAAAGCATAATAACACGAAGCAAAAATTGACAAAAGAGGAGCATCAGCAAAATGACAGTGGAGACAGCTGCAATCTGTCATTTCCCCACAGAAACATCACACAACTAAGAGAAACTGTCTGAATAAACTTTGTCAAAACTCTGGAAAATAGTCTAAAGATTACAACAACCGAGTGAAAGCAGACTCAAGAAAAAGACAACTTGAAAACTTTATGACATTTTTAACTTGCCTTTGCCCCAGCAAATTGGCAGTTTTGAAGTGGCAGAAGCCCACGTTCCCAGTGAGGAACACTGGTCCATGGTCCAAAGGAACAAGAGAAGATCTTACCTGCAAATTACTATGTGTCTGTTCTGACTGGTCTGGGGGATACCTAAAGGACTCATGAAAGGCTTTTGTTTTTCTGTGTTGCTAGAATACAGATCAGATAAGGAATGGACATTATCGAGAGACTCTGCAAGGAGACCTAACAAACCACAGATGCTTAGGGCAAAAATTAGAGTTTACACATATAGTAGATCATCTTCAGCACAGGAAGAAAAGTTGGAGAAGAGTATTTGGAAAACTAAGACATTCAAAATCATTCACGTACATGGGAGAGTCTAGAAAGTCACATGCATGCATAGGTTAAGCCACATGCTGACAAATGTCATAAGAAGACCCTACACTTTTACCTTGGCCGATCCCTCCCCTCAGTGCAAGCTCTGTGCAAGAGTGAACTTGAACTTCACTCAGTGCAAGAGTGAACACACACTTTGTGCCGGCTTTAAAGAACCCAGCACAAAGCCAGTCTGCATGGCCTAGAGACATATTTTGCTGGACAATGATTACTTGTTTTTCTTTTTGTTTTTGTTGTATTTGCCTGTTTGCTTACTTCCTGACATACAAGAAAATCACTGTCAAAACATTAGCTTAACATTTGTTAAGGAAACAAAAAGACTTCCGTGACCACACCTTATAAAGCAAACAGTTTTGTAAATCACTTTGGAAAATTTCACTAAAAAAAAAAAATCCTTAACAATATAATAAGTAAAGAAAATTTAAAACCCCAAAACATTACTGTGTTTGTGGGGGAGGGTCTGATTCACAGAGTAACCACATAGTAATTATAATTATTATAATGCCCAGTTTTCAAAAAAAGTTACATGGCATACAAAGAACGGGAAAGTATGGCTCATTCAAAGGAACAAAACAAACTGACAGAAAATATCTCTAAGGAAACCCAGACTTCAAACTTACTAGACAAAGACTTTAAAACAACTCTCTTAATTATACTCAAATGTCACAAGGAAAACATAAACGAAGAAATAAAGGATTCAGAAAAAATATTAAAAAGTAGGAATATCAACAGAGATAGCAGAAATTCTGGAGTGGAAAACTACAACGATAAAAATTTAAAAATCACCAGAGGGATTTAAGAGTATATTTGCATACACAGAAGAAGTCATGAGCTTGAAGATAAGAAAATGGAAAATATTGACTCTGAGAAACAGATAAAAAATGAGCAGAGACTAAGGAATCTGTGGGACATCATCAAATAGACCGACATTCATATTCTGGAAGGATAAATTATGTTGTTGAAAACTTTAGCATTCTTTCTTTTCACCTTTCTTTCTTCCTCCCTCTCCCTCCTCCTCCTTTTTACTTTTCTTCCTCTTCCCTTCTCTTCTTCTTTCTCTCCTTCATTATCCCTTTCGCTCTGTTTCTCTTTCTCCCTTTCTCTTTTTTCTTTTCTTTCAATTTTCTCCATTACTAAGAGATGTTTGCATACCCTTACCATGTGAGTTGATATGGTTATTTCTCCCTTTAATCCTCTTTTGAGATTTATAGTCTCTCTAAGTAAAGAGATAACCCAAACATAAGCCTCACAAACAGGCTTCCATACCATTCTTAATTTGGTCCTGTAATTCTTCATTGCTGTATTAACTTTCTGATGCTTTTAAGGATGTTTTACAACAAATTGTTTAGTTTTTTTCCACTGGAATGCTTATTCTCAATTATCTAATTCATATTGTAAGTATAGAGGGAGCTTAATATAAAATTATTAAACTAATATTTGTGAAAGAACGTATTTGTGCATTTAACAAATATGTTAATCCTCAGACTGTTATTGCGCAGCTGAGCATACAGGAATAAAAATAACATAATTTTTATGTGTACAATATTTATGGAATTCGTTACTGGAACAAATAAATAATTTAGTTAATAACATGACAAAGAACAGAAATTGTATACACTATAGAGCATAGTAATGGAATAATGAATGATTAAAGTTATTAATATTAGGTAGAAAATGAAGGGTGTCTTTGAGAGCAGAACTCAAGGAAGCAAGCAATTCGCCTTATGAGGAAAGAGTTACCTGTGGATAAAGGAGAAACTGAAAAATTTACAAGTCAAGACTTTTTGAGCAAAAATAAAAATATGATTTTTAGTCACCAATTCAGTACAGTGAAAAAAAAGTTGAAGAGATATCTTGGAAGTAAACCATGTTGTGGAAGAGCATGTAGGGTTTTGATAATCAGGGGATTATTCTGAATTAATTTTAAATGCGATAGGAATATATGAGATAATTTAACCAGAGAATAACATGATTGTGTTTGCATTTCAAAGGGGTGTATCTGGTGCACCGTGTAGAATAAATAGGTTTTGTGAGCAAATAAATTGGGAGGCTACTCTAATCCAGAGAAAAAAGGTAGTGACTTAGGTGAGAATGCTGTCAGGATGAGTGGTAGTAGTGGTGAGAAGTCGTTAGGCCATGGATGTATTTCATAGGACTGGCCAAGAGAACTGCAGCTAAATTGGAGTGTAGGGAGTGAAATGGAGAACTCAAAGACGACTCTCAGCACTGGAAAGTGACAGCTGTCACTGAAGCATGCTGATGCCTCTTATTAAGAGAGTTACTTGGGAGTGGCAAGATCAAAACTTCTCACTTTCAAATTTATGAAAAATATTGTTTTCAGAACGAATGACTTTGGGATCAGAAAGCCATCATTCTAACTGATGGTTCCAAGACTACACGGGCTCACACTCCCAAGAACAGAAGTAAATCATCACAAAGGTGCTTCCTGATAATTCTAGAGAATGGAGAATTACTGTGACATCTTTCTGATTTTAGGAGAGGTAGCAGTTCCCTGTTTAGCCTAAACGCTATTTTTTTTTAAAGCTCAGCCAAGAGACTCCATTATAATTTTCAAATGTGTGTAACTTAAATTCTCATATGAAATACCACTATGCTTAAATTAGTCAAAACATTTTCCCCATCTACAACTCTATCTTGTCATTGCGATCATTTTCACAAAAGTGACTGCTGCTCACAGACCCTAAAAGGAGAAAATCCAGGGTAGGTTATCTGATCTAGTTAGTTTCGAAGACAGGATCTAGAGATTATTTAATATGAAATAGGTCACCTGAAATGAAGTGTTTACTGAAAACAGCTTGGATCAGCCCAGTTTTCTACCACTGAACCATGCATTTGGTTTAAAAAACACAACAACTCTGGGGAATATCGGCTGCTTCCAACTGTGTTGAAGGTGTTAAAGAAAAGAGCATAAAAGTAAAAATGATCATCTGAGGCCTTTATAGTCTCTGCTCAAGAGACTAGAGTCTTCCATTCTTAACGAAACACCCAAATATCTTAATAATTGGGCAAAATCTAAATATCAGAGAGATAATTTTATCTTGAAGATTGTTAAATTATAATGGTGATTCACTACCTTGCCACGTCTCTGAGTCAAAAATTAGGTCTTTGTTTAGGAATCAATGGTACTCTGCAACTTGGAAATAGGAAGATTTTAGAAGACTCAAACACTGACTTTCTTGTGTGCAAAAAAAAAGACATATTGAGATAAGACAAGTCTTTCCTTGCAAGGATACCTCTAATGCCCATACACCACCTCCCCTAACGTTAATATAGCTTCCAGGTCAGTAACCAGTGTCAGAGAGCAGCCCATGCAACTACAAATTCAATAGATGTCGAACACAGGGTCAAGCCTAGAATAAGAAGTCTTAGCTAATTAAGTATGCTTTTTTCCCCAAATTCATATTAACGAAAACTTGGATATGTCAGAGAATGCATTCTAAGTTCACTCAACCTAGGAGGGAGAAACATAATTTTAAATTAAGAGCTGAAGCATTCTTGTCCTAACAAAAAGCAAGGAAAACGAAATATCACACCACAGGAGGGATTTCACAAATTAGTGTCAACATCAAAACCTTAAAATAGGCAAGGAGAATGCAGATTCACAATGAACTCTTGTACTTGTTTTGTTCAGAGAAGAGATGGTTCTGAGAGAATGACAGTGAACTAACCCCAGCTGGTTTAGTTGGTGCTTTCAACTGCTGCTTCTGATCAACTCCTTTAGCTAGAATAAATTGATGAGGATTTTGGCATGTGGTATTAGAGATGGTTATTAATTTTTTCCTCTTATTTGCATTGTTCAATGTAGTAAATACTAGCTGTATATGGCTACTTCAATTCAAATTAATTACAATGAAATATACTTAAATATTGAATTTTTTAGTCACTGTTGGTTCATTATTGAATACCTTCAGCTAAGATTTCCCATCTAAATACACTAAGAGGTGGCTTAGTTAACTGGTCGTCCACAAATATTGAGGCTGATGTTAACTCCTGATATATTCTCTGCAAATAGAATATTCATGAGCCTCCTCCTGAAATCAGCAGCCTAGAGATAGTTTTATAAATTGGATACAAGTTGGAAATCTATATACTCTTTCAGTTTTTGAAATATTAGCTTCCCAGGGAAGAAAATCAAATTCATAAGATATGTTAGGACAATTTAACTCAAGATGTTCAAAACTGAAATGACGTATTCTACAATATATGATAAAACCACCCCCTAACAACTTAAAGCAAAACAGGGATTGACCTTAAAGACCTGCCTTTTCCTCATCCCCCAGCCAATCAGTTTTCAAATCTTGCATTTTATTTCGAAAGGTCCTTATCCCCCTAGTCTCTTGTTTCTAGACTCGGCACATATTTAAGTTTGTTACCTCTATCTACTGACTTTTTTCTCTTCAAACGGTATCTATGCCTGCCAAATGTGAATATACAAAAAACAAATCAGAATGTGCCATTCTGATTTAAACTGCTTATTAGTTAAAACCCTCAAGATAACATCTGGGTTCTTGGCTGCAATGAGTCAAGCCTACTTACATCTTTTTTTGTCTTTGGCTGCACATTTCCTATCACATCACACTCCAGCAAAGCCAACCTGTGCCGGCCTTCTACCCCATCTCCACTATTTTGCCCCGCGTCGCCGCGGCTTTTTGCCCCCCCCCCCCCGCCGCTGCGGCTTTTTGCCCCCCGCCGCGGCGGCTTTTTGACCCTCATCGCCGCGGCTTTTTGCCCCCCGCCGCCGCGGCTTTTTGACCCTCATCGCCGCAGCTTTTTGCTCTCCGCCGCCGCGGCTTTTTTGCCTCCCCCACCACCGCGGCTTTTTGCGCGCCTTGGCTTTTTGCACCTCCGCCGCCGCGGCTTTTTCCCCACCGCGGTTTTTTGCCCCCCCCGCCGCCTCGGGTTTATGCCTACCACGGCTTTTAGTTCCCTGCCGCCGCGGCTTTTTGCCCGACCCGGCTTTTTGCCCCCCCGCCACCGCAGCTTTTTGCCCGCCGCGGCTTTTTGCACCCCCACCACCGCAGCTTTTTGCCGCCCGCCGCCGCGGCTTATTGCCCCCCATCGCCGCGGCTTTTTGACCCCCGCCGCCGCGGCTTTTTGCCTTCCGCGGCTTTTTGCCCCCGCGGCTTTTTGCTCCCCGCCGCCGCGGCTTTTTGCTCCCCCGCCCCCGCGGCTTTTTGCCGCCCGCCGCCGCGTCTTTTTGCCCGCCGCGGCTTTTTGCCCCCACGCCGTCGCGGCTTTTTGGCGCCCCCGGTGCCGCGGTTATTTGCCCGCCGCGGCTTTTTGCACCCCCGGCGCCGCGGCTTTTTGTCCCCCGCCGCCGCGGCTTTTTGCCGGCCGCGGCTTTTTGCCTGACCCGGCTTTTTGCCCCCCGCGTCTTTTTCACCCCCGCCGCCGTGGCTTTTTGCCGCCGCGGCTTTTTGCTGGACCCGGCTTTTTGCCCCCCCACCGCCGCGGCTTCTTGCCCCCCGCCGCCGCGGCTTTTTGCCCCCCCGCCGCCGCGGCTTTCTGCCCGCCGCGGCTTTTTACCCGCCGCCGCCGCCGCCGCCGCCGCCGCCGCCGCGGCTTTTTGCTTGACCCGGCTTTTTGCCCCCTGACCGCCGCAGCTTTTTCACCCCCGCCGCCGCGACTTTTTGTCGCCGCGGCTTTTTGCCCCCCACCACCGCCGCGGCTTTTTCACCACCGCCGCCGCGACTTTTTGTCGCCGCGGCTTTTTTGCCGCCCCCTCCCCCGCACCGCGCCCGGTGCCGCGATTATTTGCCCGCCGCGGCTTTTTGCTCCCCGCCGCCGCGGCTTTTTGTCCCCCCGCTCCCACCATCGCGGTTTTTTGCGCACCTCGGCTTTTTGCCCCCCGCCGCCTCGGCTTTTTGCCCCCCTGCCGCCGCGGGTTTTTGCCGGCCTCGGCTTTTTGCTCCCCCGCGGCTTTTTGCTCCCGCGCTACCGCGGCTTTTTGCCCGCAGCGGCTTTTTGCGCTCTCCACCCCCCCCCCCCCCGCCCACCGTGCCGCGGTTATTTACCGGCGGCGGCTCTTTGCACCCCCGCCGCCGCGGCTTTTTGTCCCCCGCCGCCGTGGCTTTTTGCCCCATGGCCATCCTCAGAAGCGTGAGTGGAACAGAGTGAAGGGAAAGCTGTTTTCTTCGAAAACTCAAAAATCTTGAACTTTCAAATAGGGATAAGTGTTATTTTTGCTCCAAGCACACATTTGAGAAATCTTCCATTTAGCGGATATGATGATAAACCCACATTTTTTGTTTGTTTTAATCTGAAAATGTATTTGTATGGTTCTTGGAAATATTTTTTTGCATATAAAATTATAGTTTATCCTCTTATTTCAAGTTTTATTTACCATTTGATAGTTACTCCTAAAATGTTATTGATTAAAGAAAGAATCATCTATTGCTCCAACTGCTCTTTACTAAAGGTAATTTGTCTTTTTAACCTCATCAGGCTCCTTTTAAGCTCTCAAACTGACCTTATTTTTTTTTACAGATTGAATGCATTAAGTCAATTTATTATTTATGATGAATTTATTTATGTATTTATTTTTGCTATCACAAGTAGAAAAAGCCTATAAGTTGCCATGCCAAAAACCTGCCTCTAGATGGCAAACAAACCCCGCAATACACAAAAGAGAGCCAAATTCTTAGAAACCCTGGGAAAGGAAGAGGGCTACTGTCCCATTAACAACTTGGAGCCCTTAAGGCAAGAATGAGGTGGAACATCTGGGAGGAGACACCAGGGTGCGGAGTAGTGGGGAACCTGCTCTGTGCTCTGAGACTGAAAGCCCAGCCTTGCCTCTCACCACTGCCTTGACTGTGTCCCCATCTGCTGTGAAGTGAATGGTGTCTTCTAAATTCATGCTGAGCCCTAATTGCTGAAAAGTGTAAGACATGCAATGGGATTATGTGCATCTTCCCGACACCAACATGATGCTCAGGAAGGAGACTTCTTGCTTTCTCTTAGGATTCTTTTACTAACCAAGATTTTGCCTCTACTGCATATTTCCCTTTGCTGATTGTCCCTCCCTTTTGACAGAAGATGGCCCAGGGCATTCACTACTAAGTCTCAACCTCTTACCCAAAGCCCTCAGTCTAGTGTTGCTCTTTCCTTCATGCTATTTTTGTTTCTTTCTTTTCTTGTAATCATCTTGGCAATAAAATAATCACTTTTTTCTTTCTACCTATTAAAGATGTTACCTTAGTTAATTACAGTGGTTTCCTTCAGAATGGTAAATGGTCTTTCAAAATGATGTAAAGAGATCTAAATCCGTGTGCTCCAGAAGTTGAATGAAGCTCTGTCTACCACGGGTGCCAGTGACTCTCCCAGAGTGCTCCATGCAGCTGGACCCACAGAGTCCCTCTGTGCTGTCATATCACCCACTGCCTTCTGTGAATGAGATATTCTGATTGGAATCCTGGTGGATGCTATTTGAGCCAGTGTCCCCACAACTCCTATGAAAGCCGAGGACCACAGGCCCCTGAAGACAATCACAGGTCTCTAGACTCACAGCTCCTGACCGTCCTCTGCAGACACAGCTTCTCCCCGGATGGCTGAGGGTTGTCATTGGCTGTGTCCTTCCTTGTGCATGACAACAGGAGACATAGAAGGTCTGTAAGCAGCCCTGCAAGCCAGGTTCTGAGCAAGCCCTCCTGTGTGGGGCCCTCTTACCTGGACATAGGTGTGTAAACCAAAAATGAAACTCTAAGCTCCCTAACCAACTGAATGAACTCCTCCTCTCAGCCAAGGACACACCAAAATCAACCTGAAATACAATGCAGTCCATAATCGGAACGGATGATTGGATATGCCTTAACTTACCCTCTTCCCTTTAAAATTCAGGCACAACTGACCAGCTTTTAATATGAAGACAGAGACCTTGAGACTGACAAAGAAAACTCTTTATAGCAATAAGTTACCAATGTGGCAGATACCACGTCCTAAGAGAAATCAAAGTATTTTCCCCAAGATATTGTTATTTAATGTATTTAAAAATGCCTCTGCAAAGCTGGTTCTTGTGGGAAAAGTCTACATTCTGTAGAGATTCCTTTTTAAGTCTCTTTCCTGACCCAGAGAGATTTAACTAAGAGTTTGGCACCTTTTAAGTCTACTAAGAAACAATTACAATCTATTCTCTCTGAAGCCTGCTACCTGGAGGCTTCATCTGCATGATGCAACCTTGGCTCCAAAACCCTTTTTCTAAACCCAGAAACTCCCTTGTGTTGATTACAGGTCATTAGATAAACTCTTTCAACCACCTATGAAATCTTTGAATCCACCTATGACCTGGAAGTCCCCAACATCCCCCCTCCTTCGGGCTGTCCTACCTTTCCATATCAAAACAATGTGCAGCTTACACGTATTGATTGATATCTTATGTCTGCCTAAAACGTGTAAAACCAACCTGTAGCCCGACGACCTTTGACACACGTTCTCAAGACCTCCTGAGGCTGTTTCACTGATATTTCTTTAACTTTGACCAAATAAATTTCTAAACTGATTGAGACTTTTCTCAGATACTTATTTGTTTATAGGTATCACTGGATACACTTAAGGAATTGAAGAGATTTATGACATTGAGAAAAGGAGGAAGCCAGGGTGTGTGGACATTGAGAGAGAGAGAGAGAGAGAGAGAGAGAGAGAGAGAGAGAGAGAGATTGTGATGTATGTACAGGACTAACACTGAGACCTGGTTATGTAATGGTGTAGTACTGAGTATCATCCCCAAATAGTGAGGTTTCATTCCAAGAAGACTATGCATGTATCTCATTTGGGAAAACAGCTTTTGCAGGTGTAAATTAAGGAGCTTGAAACAGGGAGATGGTCTTAGATTAATCAACTGGGACTTAAATGCAAACTCAAGTGTCCTAAAAAAAACAAGAGGTAGAGAGACATTTAGCATAGACTGAAGTGGAGAAGGCAGTGTGAACACAGAGACAGAGATTGCAGTGATGTGTCCACATCCCGGGAGAGAGAAGCCACCAGAAGCTGGAAGAGCTAAATCAGACTGCTCCCTAGAGCTTCAGAAGGAGCCAGAACTGATGACTCCAAGATCTTAGCCCAGTGAAACTGATCTGGACTTCTGAACTATGAGAGATTCCATTCCTGTTGTTTGAAGCTACCACATTTTTGAGAACTTATTACAGTAGCCCGAGGACACTAACACAAATGGGGCTCCGGGAAAATCCAGACTAAAGTTGTTGTGTTGGTTTGCAATCTCCTTGCTTAACTTTCTGATACTAGATGTAAATAGATTGTTGAAAAATTTTGTGATTGAAGAAATGTACATGAAACCTACAGTGTACAGAGAAGCATCTGTTAGTTATAAGATAAATATTGATAATTTTAGTTGAAAATGACATATGACTGTTAATATCTCACATAACATTCTGAGTTACTCAAGGATGCATAAAAGGGGCACTAGATACTCTTCTCATGTATGTGTGTGTGTCTGTCTATACATGTATGTACACTTCATGGTGCATCAGCTGGCGGAACCCTCAGGACACCCCTTCACATCCTCAGTGCCCCATTTCACACATGAGGAAACTGTTCATGACAGCACATGGCTGATTTGCATAAAAGTCACTTGGTCAGCAGTTGTTGAAGCTGAACTTGGAATCTAGGTCTGTCTGACCTTAACTATGTTCCTTCCACAGAGCCACGTTCATTCCATAGAGGAACCCACCACCTATAAAACCAGGAAAGAGACAAAGCCAGAAGTGCAGGGTGGATTTCTTAACACAAGCTCACTGCAACCTCTAGTCCTCATCACGCTGACACTAAGCTTAAACCCAGACCCTTCTACAGTTTTGTCTACAAAGCACAATTTGCCCAAAGCCTTTACAAACACCAACAGCCTTTCTTTCAGATATGGCAGCAGGGTCACATCTTACACGGCCCTGACCACATTTTGTCTCCTCTGCCATCCCCATCTCTCTGACTCAGTCCTCGCTTGCAGCCATAAAAAAGGATGAGTTCATGTCCTTTGTAGGGACATGGATGAAGCTGGAAACCATCATTCTCAGCAAACTATCGCAAGGACAAAGAAACCAATCACTGCATGTTCTCACTCACAGGTGGGAATTGAACAATGAGAACACATGGACACAGGAAGGGGAACATCACACACCAGGGCCTGTCGTGGGGTGGGGGGAGGGATAGCATTAGGAGGTACACCTAATGTAAATGACGAGTTAATGGGTGCAGCACACCAACATGGCACATGTATACATATGTAACAAACCTGCACGTTGTGCACATGTACCCTAGAACTTAAAGAACAATAATAATAATAATAAAAAGAATAGGTCTTGTACATCTAATTTGCCCTACAAATGTTAAAACAGCAAACCCGCATCCCCTTCCTCTTCTCATGTGCTGTGAGGGATGACCTCCAGGCTCTCAGATACCAAGACTGTACAAGACCTAACCCAGAGAATTACTCAAGACACTTTCTACGTAAGAAGAATTGTGGTGCTAGCTCCCCTCATAGAAAAATGTTTTCTGTCTCTTGTTGAAATTGACAGCAAACACAAAAACACAGAACTATTTGGGAGAACAGAGGACAGTGATACACTAGGGAAGTAAAACACACCCCTTCCCCTTGCATTGGTTTCCTGTTGCTGCTGTAACAAATTACCACAACCTTACTGCTCCACATAACACAAGTGTATTATCTTACATTTCTGGAGGTCAGAAGTCTCAATGAAGTAAAATCAAGGAGTAATAGGGCTCTATTCATTCTAGGCTTCAAGAGGGAAAATCCAATATCGAGCATTCCATCTTTCTGATGTTCCCACATTCCTAGCAGCATGGCCCCTTCCTCCATCACTCCAGTTTCCCTGTCCGTTGTCCCAGGTCCTCTCTGGCTGTTACCTTCCTCCTTCCCTATTATAAGGACCCTTGTGATTATGATGGTCCCACCCAGATAATTCAGGATACTCTCCTGACCCCAAAATTCTCAACCACGTCTGCCAAGTTATTTTTGACTTGTTCATAAGTAATGATCATAGATTCCAGATATTAGAACAATGATGTCTTTAGTGGGTGTATTATTCATTCCACAAACAACCCTCATCATCCCCACAATGGTCTTCCCCTAAGGTAGAATAAAAATATCACAAGGCAGATTTACGAGGCGATCGACCTAGAAAAAACCTGAGACTCTAGGACTGTCTGATGTGTGGATGTCAAATCCTGGAAGATTCTGAGTCTCTGCTCTATGTGGACTCTATGTTGTGTAGCCATTTGTGGAAGGCTTCTGTGATTTTGTGACCTAGAGAAAATGAACCTCTGCTAAAATCAAATCTAAGAAAGATTGGCAAAGGGGATTTAAAGATTTCCTAAATTTTTGGAATTTCCCTAGGCATTAAAACATGAGAAGTGGCAATAATTCAAACCAACGATGCCCTCCAAGAATGAGGATTTTTCCAATGCATTAGGTTGGGTCCCCTCAGAGAGAAGGATGCCAAAGATTCGCATGCGGGCAGTATATTTACAAAGTGCGGGAAACAAGCAAGTGAGCAAGGGAGGGGAGGAGGGAAAGGGAAAGTGAAAGGTGCCTCAGAAGGAGCCACCTCTGAGGATGACGAGAGCTCAAGCCCACATACAAACACAGGAAAAATGCCTCTGTTATTCCATCTGAGAGGTGAGGGAGCTGCGGGATGTGTACACCTCCCTTGTCATCACTGATTGGCAGCCTTCCTAGGGGATGCTAATTCCAGGCCATGAGGTCTGCCTCATTTGCAGCCTGAGCTGCTTCCCCAGGTTCAGACAGAGCAGTGAAGGGGAGAAAGGGCCATAGAGAGTCAGCTGAAGTATAATGTCTAGAATCCCCAAGGCGTAGTAACAATGACTGCTAAAATTATGCACAAAGAAAAAGTGCATTTGAATCCAGAGATGTATCTCTCTGAATCTGGATATATGGATCCTGGCAGCCTGTTCAGTAGCCATTTCCCAGAGATCCAGTCCTCTGGAAAAGCAGCAGGAGGTTTGTGCACAGGCTGCACTACCTTGGTCTGGCCACTGGTAGTCGTGCATGAGAACTACTCCCTGGAGTATTTCTCAGTCCACTGACACTGATGTAATTGGCTCCACTTCCCCTGCTGTTGAGCCAGGCCGACACGCCCTGGGCAAAGGCATCTGTGTGAAGTATTGAGGTGCAAATCAGTACTTAAGATATGTTTGGAGGCAAAATACTTTTTCATCTACATGGGCAGTGTCTTGGCAGAAGATGGAGATTCTCTCTAAATGGATGTGAGACAGGGTGGCTGGCATCTGGGTCAGGATGATGCCCTGGTGCATGGCAAGAACATGCATTGGGCAGCAGCTGCCCTCGCTAAGGAGAGAGGTTCACTGACCTGGCTTTTCCCCCCTCACCTGCTCTCCAGAAAGCCAGACTCTAGGGCAGATGCTCCTGAGACCCCAGGAACAGGCTGGTGGGGAGCGCAGCTCAGAGCATTACTCAGGGGATGTGGCCTTTGTCATCCTACTTTGAAACAATTGACTATTTGAGCCTAGATTGATAGAGGGCTTCAAGTTGATTTTAATCCAGGCTCCTATAGTCCGCGAGTGAAACAGAGATTTTGAAATAATGAGACCTGGTATTACCAGTCAGCTCTCCATGCTGGAGAACCATAAGAAATTATACCAAAGGCAGGAAAGGGGATAGAATATGGGGATCATCACGCCAAGAATAAGGTGCAGCCCATTTAGCCCCTGGGTCTTAAAGAGACCCATAGCTCTGGATAATGGCAGATCTATGCGTGACACAGTTATCATCTTTGTGCATCTTCAGAGAATTGTTTTTCCTTTTACTCCTAGGAACAATGTCTTAAGTTTGTTAGTAAATTCTATTGAATTTATTAAAGATGCTTCTCATAAATTCTTTTTATATTCATTTCAAGAAAGAAGCAATTTCACACTGACAGAGACATTGTTATTATAGCACTAAATACTTTTACACTCATCAAATTCCTTTGAGACTAACTGAAATTTCTGACAGCCCCACACTCTATAACTTTATTGTAAATTTTCTGCCAAAAATGATGCTTTCCTATACACTCCTAATACAAGTATAAATATATTATTTAATCTAGTCTTAGGTTGATTTAAAATTTTGAAAATTCACTCCAAACATATGTTCTGTAACCGTATGGCCACCAATGAGAAGTGTACTGTTTCAAGGTAAATCTGTGCTGCCCTGGTCTGACCTGGGACTCTGGGGATACTGCGCCCGTGTGCTGAGTTACTGAGATGAGCCGGCCCTGCAGCTGTGCTCAGCCTGCCCCATCCCCTGCTGATTTGCCTGTTCCTAGAGCACAGCCCCCTGCCCTGAAGACTTCTTATAGGCTGCTCACACCCGGTGCAGGAGTCAGCCCCAGTCAGGACACAGCACGGACGTGAGGGCCCCCACTCAGCTCCTGGGGCTCCTGGGGCTCTGGCTGCCAGGTAAGGAAGGAGAACACTAGGATTATACTCGGTCAGTGTGCTCAGTACTGTCTGGAACTTCAGGGAAGTCCTCTGATAACATGATTAATTGCAAGAATATTTGTTTTTATGTTTCTAACTTCAGGTGCCAGATGTGACATCCAGATGACCCAGTCTCCATCCTCCCTGTCTGCATCTGTAGGAGGCAGAGTCACCATCACTTGCCGGGCGAGTCAGGGCATTAGCAATAATTTAAATTGGTATCAGCAGAAACCAGGGAAAACTCCTAAGCTCCTGATCTATGCTGCATCCAGTCTGCAAAGTGGGATTCCCTCTCGGTTCAGTGACAGTGGATCTGGGGCAGATTACACTCTCACCATCAGCAGCCTGCAGCCTGAAGATTTTGCAGCTTATTACTGTCAACAGAGTGACAGTACCCCTCCCACAGTGTTACAAGTCATAACATAAACCCCAAGGAAGCAGATGTGTGAGGCTGGGCTGCCCCAGTGCTCCTTCTGGTGCTTCTATCTGCTGAGGGAAGTTCTCAAACTCAGTCAGGTTTGGAAAGTCATTGGGAGATTTTCCTAGAGGAGGCCAGGGAGGTTCCTCTGAACCCTAAGCCTCTTTTGCCCTCATCCCCAGCAGAAAAGACGTGACAATGCCTGTCCTGACTGAATAAAGAAGAGAGATAAGTCCAGCTGAGGAGTCTGTGTTATGGGATAATCGGAATTTGTACAGCAAAAGAGAAGCTATTCTCAGTATTTCAAGGAGAAATTATTCAAGTTGAATAAATTAGAGTCTAAACCACAGTCTTTCTGAAGCCTATGGAGTGTTATTCATGAAGCAGGTACTAGACACAGGGGATTCTCAGGTGCTACTTCAGAAGCCAGGGTGCACCTGCCCCTGGTGGTATGTGCTGAACACCGTGTGATGATCCTCAGTCTGGTCTGGGAAGCCCAGGGCTGGGGGTGCTGATGTTCTCAGCTGCCTGCAGCACATCTCCAGGTGATTCTCCAGTCCACACCTAACTGCATGTGTTTTACTTCAGGTGTCAGTGTACATGAATCCACCACTCTGACTTCCCAATCTCATGACAGTAATTAGTTGTAACTTATTGTAACCTCATGGAGCAACTCTAAAGAAACCATAGAGAGAAAAGGAGTTTTGGAAAATGTGCTCCCAGAAGTGATAGTAATGATGGGGAATTGACAGCTGATGGGGAAGTAAGGTGACTCTTTCCACAAGGCTCAACATTTTGCCAGTTACGAATTGTTGCAAAATACATTTGAATGTGCTTTCAAGTATTACCAGTTTGGGGTCATAGCTGAAAAACTTTATTAAGTCACAGATAAAATGGGAAAATCAGGAAATTGTATGAAATACAGAATAACACTGTGTGTGATGGCTCAGGTCTGTAATCCTGTGATAGTTAATACTGATTGTCAACTTGATTACATTGAAGGATGTAAGCATTGCTCCTGGGTGTGTCTGTGAGGGTGTTGCCAAAGGAGATTAATATTTGAGTCAGTAGTCTGGGGAAGGCAGACCCCCTACTTAATCTATGGGCACCATTTAATCAGCTGTCAGTGAATATAAAGCAGGCAGAAAAAAGTGAAAAACTGAGTCTGGCCCAGCCTCCCAGCCTACATCTCTCTCCCGTGTTGGATGCTTCCTACCCTTGAACATCGGACTCCAAGTTCTTTAGTTTTGAGACTCGAGCTGGCTCTCCTTACTCCTCACTCCTCATGCCTGCAGACAGCCTACTGTGGGACCTTGTGATCCTGTAAGTTAATATGTAATAAACCCATATATATATATATATATATATATATATATATATATATATATATATATATATATATATATATATATATAACTTATTAGTTCTGTCCCTCTGTCCCTCTAGAGAACCCTCACTAATACAGATTTTGGTACCAGGAATGGTTCTGCAGGAACAGAATATTAAGGTTGGAGTTCTTTTGTTGGTTTTGGGGTTTCTGGATTTGGCTGCTAAATATGATTAGATCCCAAAATGCTAAGGACTCTACTTTTAATAGTGTAGAGAATATTGACAGTTCTTGGCATGAAAGGTTTAAAGAGCTATGCAAAACAAATTCATTTGACACTAATGAATCATCCCTCGTGAGAGGCAAGGAGTTTAGCGACTCTGTACCTAATACCCTTGACAAACACCTTGCAAAATAGATTTGTGAGGACAGCACCTGCATCTTTGAAGAGCCCTGTAAAGGCTCTTCTCTGTATGTCAGATCTAATGGTGAGAACTGCAGTCACTCAGTTACAAAAGTTAAATACAATTTGGAATAATTGGATCCTGAAGTGGCAGGGGCCAAGTGGTAGCACTCAACCCTCAAAGGCACGGTGGGCGTAGCTACCGTAATGGGCAGAAAAGACAAAGCAGCAATCTGAACAGTCTGACTCATGTAGAGCTCTGGCATTGGCTAACTAATCACAGTGTTCCTAGAAGTGAAACTGACAGGAAGACTAATGCATTCCTACTTAATTTACGTAAGGAGGAAACTTAAGGTCAAACAGATAAAAGACTAATTGGAATTATAAAAACAGAGATTCATGGCCCCTCAATCAATTTCCAGCCTTGAGCCAGGTTATGGACCCAGAACCCCTTGAATGAAGGGGAGGCTGGGTCCCCCCGACGTGTCCATGGCAGATAGGAATGCTGCTTTGAGGCTTTGGCAGGCCTCCATAGGTGAATCATGGTGGAGGCCTCTAGTATTTTGCAGCAAGGCCCGGTCATCTTCTCCAGTTAACTACTCTCCTTTTGAGAGACAGCTCTTGTCCTATACTGGGCTTTTGTGGAAACTGAACATTTGACTATGAGTCAACAAGTCACCATGCGACCTGAACTGCCTATCGTGAACTGGGTGCTTTCTGACTCATGTAGCCATAAAGTGGGTCATGCACAGCAGCATTCCATCATCAAATGGAAATGGTGTATAAGTGATTGGGCTCAAGCAGGTCCTGGGGGGCACAAGTAAGTTACATGAGGAAGTGGCTCAAGTGCCCATGGTCTCTACTCCTGCCACCCTGCCTTCTCTCCCGCGGCCTGCACTGATGACCTCATGGGGACTTGCCTTTGAGCAGTTGACACAGGAAGGGAGGACTAGGGCCTGGTTCACAGATGGTTCTCCACAATAGGCAGGTACCGCCCAAAAGTGGACAGCTGAAGCACTACAGCCCCTTTCTAGGACATCCCTGCAGGACAGTGGTGAAGGACAATCTTCCCAGTGGGCAGAACATTGAGCAGTGCACCTGATTGTGCACTTTGCATGGAAGGAGAAATTTCCAGATGTGCGGTTATATACTGATTCATGGACTGTAGCCAATGGTTTGGCTGGATGGTCAGGGACTTGGAAGAAGCATGATTGGAAAATTGGTGACAAAGAAACTTGGAGAAAGAGTATGTAGATGGACCTCTCTGAGTGGTCAAAAACTGAAGATATTTGTACCCTGTGTGAGTGTTGACCAACAAGTGACTTCAGCAGAGGAGGATTTTGATAATCAAGTGGATAAGATGACCCGTTCTGTGGATACCACTCAGCCTCTTTCCTCAGACACCCCTGTCATTGTCCAATGAGCCCATGAACATAGTGGCCATGGTGGCAGGGATGGAGGCTATGCATGGATTCAGCAATGTGGACTTCCACTCACCAAGGCTGAACTGTCTGTGGCCACTGCTGAGTGCCCAATTTGCCAGCAGCAGCAGCAGAGACTAACAGTGAACCCTTTGTATGGCGTCATTTCCTGGGGTGATGGACCAGCTACCCGGTAGCAGGTTGATTATATTGGAACTCTTCCACCATGGAAAGGAGAGAGGTTTGTCCTCATTGGAACAGGCACTTACTCAGGATATGGGCTTGCCTACCTGCATGCAATGCTTCTGCCAAGACTACCATTTATGGACTCAAGGAATGCCTTATCCACTATCACGGTATTCCACACAGCATTACCTCTGACCAAGCACTCACTTTACAGGTAAAGAAGTGAGGCAGTGGGCTCATGCTCACGGAATTCACTGGTCTTACCATATTCCCCATCTTCCTGAAGCAGCTGGATTGATAGAATGGTGGGACGGCCTTTTGAGGTCGCGATTACAACGTCAACTAGGTTACAATACTTTGCCGGGCCGGGGCACCATACTCCAGAAGACCATGTGTGCTCTGAATCAGCGCCCAATGTATGGTATTGTTTCTCCCATAACCAGGATTCACAGATCCAGGATTCAAGGGGTGGATGTGAAAGTGGAACCACTCACTATGATGCACTGGCAAAATGTTTGCTTTCTGTTCCCACGACATTAGGTTCTGCTTTACTAGTCATCTTAGCTCCAGAGGGAAGAACGCTGCTACCAGGAGACACAATAACGATTCCATTAAACTGGAAGTTAAGATGGCCACTTGGACGCTTTGGGGTCCTCCTACCTTTAAGTCAACAAGCTAAGAATGGAGTTACAGTGTTGGCAGCAGTGATTGACCCAGACTATCAAGATGAAGTCAGTCCGCTACTCCACAACGGAAGTGAGGAAGAGTATGCATGGAATATAGGAGATCCATTAGGGCGTCTCTTGGTATTATCATGAACTCTGATTAAGGTAAATGGGAAACTATACCCAATCCAGGTAGGACTACACATGGTCCAGATCCTCTCCGGGTCACGACCTGCTGAGGTGCTTGCTGAAGGCAAAGGGAATACAGAATGAATAGTGGAAGAAAGTAGTTATCAATACCAGCTACGACCACCTGACCAGCTGCAGAAATGAGGACTGGAACTATCATGAGTATTTCCTTCTTCTTTTGTTAAAAACATGTTTGTGCATGTATGCACTTGTACTAAGAAAATATCTTCATTTCATTTCCCTTTTCTTTATCAGGTGACATAGATTTGCTGACCTCATATCAGCATTTAAGTATTGTTTACTTTATGTAAGAGTATTTGGGTTGGGGATGGGTGCATTTCCAGTTGTAGGAAGGATAGTTTATTATGTTAGGGGTAATTATGACCTTACTATTGTCTGTATTTTAAGATTATGTATGATCTCAGGAGATGTGTGTGGGTTCAAGTTCACAAGGGGTGGGCTTGTGATGGTTAATAATGAGTGTCAACTTGATTGGATTGAAGGATGTAAAGTATTCATCCTGGGTGTGTCTGTGAGGGTGTTGCCAAAAAAAGATTAACATGTGAGTCAGTGGGCTGGGAAAGGCAGACCCACCCTTAATCTGTGTGGGCACAATCCAATCAGCTGCCAACCCAGCCATACTATAAGCAGGCAGAAAAATGTGAAAAGAGACGGGCCTCGCCTCCCAGCCTACATCTTTCTCCCACGCTGGATGCTTCTTGCCCTCGAACATGGACTCCAAGTTCTTCAGTTTGGGAACTCTGGCTGGCTCTTTTTGCTCCTCATCCAGCAGATGACCTATTGTGAGACTTGGTGATTGTGTGAGTTAATACTTAATAAACTTCCTGTATTAGCCAGTGGCATCTAGAGGGACAGAACTAACAGGATATATACATATATATATATATACATACACACACACACACACACACACACATATATATATTTATTTATAAAGGGGAGTTTATTAACTTACAGGATCATAAGTTACACAATGGGCTGTCTGCAAACTGATGAGAAAGGAGAGCCATGGAGTCCAATGTTTGAGGGCAGGAAGAAACCAGCATGGGAGAAAGATGTAGGCTGGGAGGCTAGGCCAGTCACTCCTTTTCAAATTTTTCTGCCTGCTTTATATTTGCTGGCAGCAGATTAGATTGTGCTCACCAGATTAAGGGTGGGTCTGCCTTCCCCAGCCCACTGACTCAAATGTTAATCTCTTTCGGCAACACTCTCACAGACACACCCTGGATCAATACTTCATATCCCTCAATCCTATCAAGTTGACAGTCATTATTAACCATCTCACTCCCCTTCATATATATATGTATATAGTCCTTTAATTCTGTCACTCTAGAGAACCCTGACTAATACGTCTACACTTCTGATGATCTATTTCTTTTATTTTAGGTCATTTATTTCCCCTGGGTTGCATACACTCGCTTCTTCCCACTCTCCTATGAAGGACAATATAAGCCTCTGGACCTCACTAGGTCAGGGCATGTCCCTGCTTGCACTATCCATGACACTTTCCTCTTTTACTCTTTAGCAATGAGGGAATGTCATCCTTACCCAGATGCCAGCCACCTGTCTCACATCCAGGACAGAGAGTCTCCATCTCCTCTCCAGCAAATACCCATGTATGTGGGCATGGTGGCATGCCCCTGTGATCCCAGCTACTCCATAGGCTTAGGGGGCAGAATCACTTGTGCTTGAGAATTCAAGGTTGCAAGGAGCCATGATCACACCACTGCACTTCATGCTGGGTAACTGAGTGAGACCCTGTGATTTTTCGCCTACATTTTACAGAATTTTTTTTTGCCTCTTTCTTCTATTAATTTATGTTTTGTCCATTCATTTTCTGCAATCCTTTAGAGGGCAAATAGGAAGTTTCCCTTTTTAACGTGGTGGCTCACGCCTGTAATCCCAGCACTTTGGGAGGCCCAGGTGAGCAGACCACCTGAGGTTGGGAGTTCGAGACTAGCCTGACCAACATAGAGAAACCCCGCCTCCACTAAAAAAAATACAAAATTAGCAGGCTGTGGTGGTGTGCACCTGTGATCCCAGCTACTCAGGAGGCTGAGGCAAGAGAATTGCTTGGACCTGGAAGGCGGAGGTTGCAGTGAGCCCAGATTGTGCCACTACACTCCAGCCTGGGTGACAAGAGCGAAACTCCGTCTCAAAAAAAAAAAAAAAAAAAAGAAACAAAAACAAACAAAGAAAAAAACACCTACTGCCTCACTGAATTAAAGGCGTGTTCAGCAGTTTCTTTGTTATTTCAAAGAGTGGCATCTGCTTCAGCAGGGTCAGTTTTTAATGTATTTGTTTTGTTTCTTTTTTCTCTGTCTGGTGTTCTTTTCTATTTTTAAATTTGAGGGATGAGGTTTTCATAGTACTGAATATCAAACAATGAATCCGCATGAATGATTCACCTAATTTCCCTGGTTTTAGTCCTCTATACAGGTTTTATATAGCAAAAGAACCATTTAAAGACTTGGGTTACAAATGTATTTTATTTTACCTCTGGCATGCCTTGGGCTGAGAAAGCATTATATGGTGGCACAATATTTGTAACATTCTCATAGCCATCTGGTGGTGGTTCGAGGTATGACATTTTGAAAATCTAGCAAGAATTAAAATATGTCAAGTTAGAGAGAAAAATTCCAGATTATTATTAAGTTATAATTCATTTTGCCCCAAGTATATACTTCAGATTAAGCATCCTGGAACTAGGTTCTATAATTAAATAAATTACACTGACAACAATGAGAAAGAACCTTACCATTATTATTGTCTTCCTAATAATAGAAACTTTTATAAATGCATGCAATCTCAGGTAACCAAAAGTTTCCTTATAAAGTGTAACAGCAGAGCTTCAAAGGTGGCACTTTGGCAAGCCTCTTTTTTTGACTATGCCTTTTCAGCTTCCTTTGTGGGCTCCTTTTCTTTCATCTTTATTTAAATAATATTTCCCTATGTTTTATCCCCAGCCCATTGCTTGCCTCTGTACTGCCTCCCTGCAAGACTTCATTAAGTATCAGAATTTTACCAATAGCTCATATGCTTATGATGCTTACCTTTTCAGATTCGTATATTTAAATGTTTTGTGGTTATTTCATCCTGGATGTCCAAACTCAACATGTTAAAATTCAAATTTATCATCTCTCACCCCGGGCCTGCTTTTGGTCTGCATTTCCTCCCTCTATTAATAGCTTCAGTCATTAGCCACCGACACCAGACAGTCTCGGAGTCATCCTGAACTCTATCTTCCCCTCCTTCCCCAAGTCAATCACTAATCAAGTCCTGCTAATACATTTCCTTACTATTTCTGAAACCCATCCCTCTTCCTCATTCCTACTAACATCCTAATTTAAAACTTTATTATCTTTTACCTGGACTATTGTCTTAAGACAACAACTTTAACCCGTTGCTTAGCCTAGGTGTAATCCACAGAGGATCTTGTCTGTCTAAAATGCCCCTCTAGCCACATCCTTCCCCTGCTCAGATCTTGTCATTGGCTCCCATGAACTGAAGTTGAAGTTTAAGCTCCTTAGGACAGCATACACGCCCTTCTATGATCTGTTCCCAGAACATATTTACTGGTTTATCTCATACCATGGCCCACTTTGTATTTTACACTTTTGAAATACAGAAAATAATTACATTCTCCCAATAATACTAAGCTAGTATATGCCTAAAAGCCTTTGCCAATATTTTGTCTTTTGTTGAGAATTCCCTTAGCTTATTTTGTCACGTGGTTAACTCCTTATGTCCTTTCATGACTCACATGTCAAGACTTCAGGAAACCTTCTCTAACTCCCAGGCTGGGCTGAGTGACCCTTTTCTGGGTAAATAATGAACTCTAATCATACTCTTCATAGCACTTACCGTACTAATTTGAAGTCTGAAGTATTCCATTGTCTGCCTCACTTTACTTAGGCAAAGGAACCATGTCCTAATCTCATTCTGGCCTCAGGACTTCAGCCTGGGCGACAGTGGGAGACTGTGTGTCAAAAAAAAAAAATTGCCAATGATTGAAGCCTAATACTGAAGATTCTGGTTTATTAATAATTAGTCTGTTCCTGGGTGTTAATTGAGCTCTCCAAGTGATTACTCATGTAGGACTTCAAAACAATAATTTAGAACCTTGTGACTCAAAACCTGGGCAAAAATAAGCAGCATCAGTATCACCTGAGAGCAGCTTCAGGTCTCACTTTAGATTTACTCTGAATCTAAATATTATATTTTAATTAAAAAAATTAACAGATGACAAGCTTCAACTACACGTAAATTCTTTAGATTTACTTTAAAAGAATCAACATTTTGACACAATACCAAAGTGAACTAAATTCGCTTTTTTTTTTTTTTTTTTTTTGAGACAGAGTCTTGCTCTGTTGCCCAGGCTGGAGCTCAGTGGTGCAATCTCGGCTCACTGCAACTTCCACCTCTCCAGTTCAAGCGATTATCTTGCCTCGGCCTCCAAAGTAGCTGGGATTACAGGCACATGCCATCATGCCCGGCTAATTTTTGTATTTTTAGTAGAGACAGGGTTTCACAATGTTGGGTCAGCTGGTCTCGAACTCCTGACCTCAAGTGATCTGCCCTCCTCGGCCTTCCAAAGTGCTGAGATTATAGACATGGGACACCATGCCCAGCCTAAATTTGCTTTAATTTGGAGAAGTACTGGTCTAGAAAACACAAATTCCAAGGAGACTCAGGTTCTTAAGTTGATTTCTTGAGTACAAGTCCTTCAAATGCATTCTCCAAGATTAATTTTTTTTTTTTTTTACTTTTTAAATTGACAAAGATTATACATATTCATGGCTCTACGGGGATGTTTCAGTACATGTAGATGGTGATCAGATCAGGGCAATTAGCATATCTATCATCTCAAACATTTATTATTTCTTTGTGTTGGGAACATTCAAACTACTCCTAGGTATTTTAAACTACATAATATAGCATTGTTAACTATAGTCATCTACAGTACTATAGAACACTAGAACTTATTACTCTTACCTAGCTGTAATTTTGTATCCATTAACAAATCTCTTACTATTCCTCCTTTCTCCCTACCCTTTTCAGCCTGCAGTATCCTCTGTTCTACTTTTTACTTCTATGAGATCAACTTTTTTTTAGCTTCTGCGTGAGTGAGAACATGTGGTGTTGAAATTTCTATTCCTGGCTTATTTTGCTTAGCATAGTATCCTCCAGTTCCATCCATGTTGCTGAGAATGACAGGATTTTATTTATTCTTTTTTATGGCTAAATAGCATTCCTTGGTGTATATATACCATATTTTAAAAATCCATTCATCTGTTGTTGGAAACCTAGGTTGATTCCATATCTTGGCTATTGTGAACACTGTTGCAATAAACATGGGGATGCAGATGTCTCTGCAATATAATGCTTTTCTTTCCTTTGGATAAATTCCCAGTAGTGGGATTGCTTGAGGTGTTTCAATACTGTTCTCCATACCGGCTGCACTAATTTACATTCCTACCAACAGTGCATAAGAGTTCCTTTTTCTCCAGCTACTCAGGAGGCTGAGGGAGGAGAACTATTTGAACCCTAGAAGCAGAGGGAGCCAGATTACACCACCACTGCACTCCAGCCTGGACGGAGAGTGAGACTCTGTCAAAAAAAAAAAAGTCCCTTTTCTTCACGTCTTTGTCAGCATTTGTTATTTTTGTCTCTTCTATAATAGCCATCCTAACTGGAGTAAGATGATGCCTCACTGTGGCTTTGATTAGCATTTCCTTGCTGATTAGTGGTGTTGAACATTTTTTCATATACTTGTTGGTCATTTGTATGTCTTCTTTTGAGAAATGTCTGTTCAGAGCATTTGTTTATATTTAATTAGATTGTTGTGCTTCTTTGCTGTTGATATGTTTGAATTCCTTGTATATTCTTGATATTAATTTCCTGCCAGATGAGTTTATATTTTCTCCCATTCTGTAGATTGCCTTTTCACTCACTTTATTATTTCCTTTGCTGTGCAGAAGATTTTTAGCTTGATGTGATCCCATTTGTTTATTTTTTCTTTTGCTGCCTGTGCTTTTGATGCCTTATTCATAAAATATTTTCCCAGAGCAATGTCCTGAAGGATCTCCCCTATGTTTTCTTCTAGTAGCTTTACCATTTTGGGTCTTATATTTGGGTATTTGAGATACTTTGAGTTGATCTTTGTATAGGGTGAGAGGCAGAGGTCTAGTTTCATTCTTCTGCATATGGATATCCAGTTTTTCCAGCACCATTTATCGAAGAGACTATCCTTTCCCCAATGAGTGTTCTTGGCGCCTTTGTAAAAAATCCGTTGGCTGAGATATGTGGATTTTCTGGGTTCTTTATTCTATTCCATAGGTCTATGTGTCTGTTTTTATGCCAATACCATGATGTTTTGGTTACTACAGTTTTGTAGTATATTCTGAGGTCTGGCAGCATGATACATCCAGCTTTGTTCTTTTTGCTTAGGATGGCTTTGGCTATTCAGGATATTTTTTGATTCCATAAAATCTCTTTGGATTTTTTTTAATTTTGTGAAGAATATTCATAGGTATTTTGATAGAGATTGCATGGAATCTGTAGGTTGCTTTTGAGTAGTACTGTCACTTTAACAACATTCATATTTCTGATCCATGAGTGTGAATGTCTTTTCATTTGTTTGTATCCTCTTCAATTTCTTTCATTAGTGTTTTGTAGCTTTCATTTTACCTCCTTGGTTACATTTATGTCTGGGTTTTATTTTTTTGGTAACTATTGTAAATGGGTTTGCCTTCTTAATTTCTTTTTCAGCGAGTTTGTTGTTCATATATATAAATGCAACCAATCTTTGTGTATTAGTTTTGTGTCTTGCAACTTCACTGAATTTGTTTGTTCTAAAAGTTTTCTGGTAGAGTCTTCAGGTTTTCCTATATATAAGATCATGTCATCTGCAAATAGGAACAATTTGATGTCCTCCTTTCCGATTTGAATGGCCTTTATTTCTTTCTCTTGTCTAATTACTCTTGATAGGACTTCACATTTATATACTTTGAATATTTAAAATGTTTACATAAATGTCAGAATCAACTTTCATTTTTCATAGAAAAAGAAGACCCTACTTGTTTTGTAGTTTTAATATTAATCAATTATTATTATCTGAGACAAATTATTTAACAAATTAAACTGTCTATTAAAATATTTCACCACAAATAAATTCCATAAGGAAAATATCTACAACTGTTTTTATGAAAGAATAAAAGGCTTCTCTACAGTTGCGTAGGCCCGGTGCCATGGCACACACCTATAAATCCCAGCACTGTGGGAGACCATGGCAAGAGGATCCTTTGAGCCCAGGAGTTTGAGACCAGCGTGGACAACAAAGTGAGACCTCATCTCTACAAAAAATAAAAAAGAAATTAGCTGGCCATGGTGGTGCGTGCCTGTGGTCCTAGCTACTCGAGAGGCTGAGTAAGGAGGATCACTTGAGCCAGGGAGGTGGAGGTTTCACTGAACCATATTCACGCCACTCCACTCCAGCCTGGGCAACAGAGCTAGACCTTGTCTCAAAAAAATTAAGTTAGTTAAATTAAACATGAAGTTGCATTGTATTTAAGAAATTTGGAAAGCAGAAAATGCTTCTGCTTTTCTTTTGAGTTGAACAATGAGAACACATGGACACAGGGAGGGGAACATCACATACCGGGGCCTGGGGGAGTGATAGCATTAGGAGAAATACCTAATGTAGATGATGGGTTGGTGGGTGCAGTAAACCATCATGGCATGTGTATACCTATATAACAAACCTCCAGGTTCTGTACATGTATCTCAGAACTTAAAATGTAATAATAACAATAATAAAAATGACAAAAAAAAGGAAATGCTTCTTGTTAGAACAGATTACATACCCTCATTGCTTTTTATAATAGCCTATAATAACAGAATATCCACAAGGTGGCAGTAATATATCAGTTTTATCCTCTGAAATTAAAACTTTTGCCTATTCAGTAATACAATGGATCTTTTGAACTCACTCTAACACGTAGAATACAGCAATTTGACTTAATAATTAGCCTTTAAATTTATAGTCTTGTATTATCACTTTAGTGGTTTGAATTATGTTGTATTTTAATATATTTAAATGAATTCGTCCTATACAAATTGACTAATTTGACATGTGGAGGTGTTTTTATTCAATTTTCAGAAGTTTAGCTTTAAAAAAATTTCTAAACTTTGATATCTGGTGAGTGCCAATGTTTTTATCTTATTAAAAGGTGACAGACCACACTATATTCAACTGATTTTTTTTTTTTTAACAAGGATGCAAAATCAGTTTAAAGGAAGGATATCTTTTTCAACAAATGGTGCTAGAGCAATTGGACATTCACAGGTACAAAAACTAAGACTGACCTAAATTTATACTTTATACAAAATTTAGCTCACATAAATCACAGGCTTAAATGTAAAATGTAATATTATAAAACTTAAAGTTGTGTATGGTAGCTCGTGCCTGTAATCCCAGCTACTACTCAAGTGGCTGAGGTGGAAGGATCACTTCAATCCAGCCGTTAGTGGCTGCAGTGAGCAATGATGGCACCACTGCACTACAGCTTGGGTGAAACCTCGTCTCAAAAATAATAAATAAATAAATAAATAAATAAATTCATTAAACTTTTTAAAACAGAAGAAAACTCTTGAGACCTTGGGCTAGGCAAATAATTTTTAGGCTTGATGTCGAAAACAAAATCTACAAAAGGGAAAAGTGATAAAACTGGACTTCATTAAAATAAATAAACACTTTTTTATTTTTTTTTTTTTATTTTATTTTTTTTTTACTTAGAAAGACCCTGTAAAGAGGTTGAAAAAATGAATTACAGACTGGGAGAAATAATTTGCATACCATGTATCTGACAAAGAACTTACATCTAGCATATGTAAAAAATTCTCAAAACTCAATAGTAATAAATAAGGTATCCAATTAGAAAATAGGCATATGTGACCTCTCTGTATTATAACTTAAACCTCATGTGACTACAATTATTTCAAATGAAATAAACAAAACAGTAATGCCTGTTTCTAGCATATAAAATAATCAGAGAACATAGAATTATACGAAGTTAAATTATTGGGCCATTTACTTAATTTAAATATTTTTAAATGCTTGTACCCATTTTGCTTGAAGGTGTGTGCAAGTATGCTTGTATTTTTTTAACGATAATATGGTCACATGAGCATTAATTCTTTTTTTTTAAGTTTATAGTTACCCCACACAAGTTCTTATTGATTCCCTCATTCTTAACACCTGCATAGTATTTCATTTTATAATTAATGGATTGTAGGTTTATTCTTTTAAAATCACTTGTGTTGTTCTCATGTATTTTTTTTTTTCACTAAAAAGTGTTGCAATGCACAAAACTAAAAATATAACGAGGGTCTTTTCTGGATCTCTGTTGAAAAACTTTGAATAAAAATTACAAGTTCAAAATCACATGCAAAATAAACATTTTAATTAATAGGGCTTTTGTGCAAGATGTTAGCAGCAGCAGCAGCACAGTTTTATTAATATCCCTGAATCTCTCACAAAAACTGACTGAGCAACTGGGATAACAAGGTATTAACTATGACAAAACAATGTAACAGGGTGTCATCATGGACCTTTTGTGAGGTTAAACCACAGGGACCCAGGCGAATCACCAATTTTTTTGGAAGAAGGAAAGGAAAGAAAAAAATGTTTAATGGCCCTGGGAACTGGAAAACCTAGAAATACAAGCGCTAACATCTATGTTCCTAAATTCAGAGATTCTTACTAGGCAAAAAGAACTCAGCAGATTAATCTGACAACAGCAGCTGAGGCTGGCAGAAGGCTTCCTGGACCTCAACTCATAGCTGAGAGTGAGGATGGCAAAAAGCAGGTGCTGTGAGTGGTCTGTTTCCTATGAACCCTACAAATTAACCACCCCCAAAACAAAGCCCTGTCCTAAGGAGAAACTGCAGGAAGTCAATTATAAATTGAGTTGGGAAGCACACTGAGGCTCAAGAAAAGGGAAGCTCCAGGTTAAGATGCAAGAGAAGAAGGGAAAAGGCAGTTTTCTGCAAGTTCAAGCACAAATAATTTCTTTACCTTCTAGTTCTGGAAATACCAGGTGCTGTGTATGTAAAGCAGGAATTTTGGTTGAATATTATATAATTTTCTGACCCACTGTTACTAATCCAGTTTCCCCTGTACTCAGGTCTTCCATGCTACAGACAGACTGACAGATGCTCAGCAAATAGTTGCTAATATTTTCTAGGTAACTAGGTGCTAAACGAGTTTTCTTAAATTTCTACCTCCAGGTCTGTAAGTTGATTTGAAGCATTACCAGTTTCTGGTTCTGCACAGGTTGTTGAGCGCAGGACTTCTCTCCTCCAGTGGAAAGTCCACCTGCTCACAATCAACCATCCTTTCCTGCGGCCTTGAGACACTACTCAGTGTAGCACGCCTCCCAGTCTAGAATAGGCACACTTATCATCAGTCTCTCTCATTTTCTGTCTTATCTCCATTCCATCTACATACAGTTTTTGTTTTCGCCAATGTTTTTAACTAAACAACTGTACAAGCACAACAATGACAACAGAAACCTCCCTTCCCCCAGTGTTGTAGTGAGCAAGGAATATATTTAACTTCAAATAAAAGACAAAAACAAATGCTGGATAAAGCTGACAGAAAGAAATGCAACTGTAGGTGCTCTGGCAATATAGAAATGATACAACTAAGAAAAATGGAAGAAAAGGAAAGAGAAAGTATTTCTCAGAATGATTTTACTGACTGCTCATCTGTAATGCCTGGGAGTCAAAGGATATTGTTTATAGAAATGTAAGCATACTTAATGGCACCAGGGGAATCAAAGTTAATATGATTAAATCAAATTGTGGGATGAAAAATCACATAGGAAGGACAAGAAAGAGAATACAGCTAATACCATTGTTCTTAGTCTAGAGACATTAGCTACTGTCTAAAGAAAGCGATGATTTTATGAAATTACATAAGGTAGTCATCAGAATAAAAGTTTAACTCTTCCAAATATCACAACATCAAAACAAAAGCAATAAAAACAAACAAGACAGCAAAAGACAGATATGTGCATATAAATCATAGCATAATATACTGTAATCAAAATATAACCAAACACAATTTATCATTAAAAGTAAGTGGGCTTGACTCTTATTAGAGGAAAAAATATTGTCAGATTAAATCAAAAAGCAAATCTCAATTCTATGCTGGATATAAGATAAAGTGTTACAGAAAGTTTAGAAATAAAAGTATAGGCAATGAATAAAAGGATCTTCTCTTCATGCGTTAGGAGTATAAAACAGTACGTAAACACATCATACGTTTTCTGTTTTTACCCTTAAATGGCTGGAGATGTTACACCACTAGTATGAATCTACTTCAGATATATAAAGGATACATTTTTATGTGGTTAGAAACAGCAATGATAATAGTTAAGGTGAAAATAACATCTGCATTGATGCTAGGAAGAAAGAGCCATTGTTGGGTACACAGTGATTACATTACCATGGAGCAATCTGTTCCCAACTGAAATGTCCTTGCCCTTCTACTGAAATCATGTAAGATTCTGCAAAAGTAGTGTTTACTTCCCACAAATCAGCCATTTGTGGGAATGGCTGCTATTGTTGTCCACACGGAATGAGCATTAGACCTATATTTAGCTGTTGTATCATTAAGAGTCATATTTGGCCCTTTCCAGAGGCTATTATTTCAATTATATTTTGGAGAATTAGTCTATTTCCAGGCAAATAATTTTTCCAGAACTTTGATCCATATGAAACGTCCCTTTGGTAGGGATCCAGGGATTGAGTTTATTTTTAATTATTGTAGCATCCTGGTCAGGTTGAGAAACAGATTACCTTTATACTTCCCTGGCATGTGAGCAGGGCTAGATTTAGCGTGAGAATGCTTGAAAGTTTATAGTTTTTTTAGAAATTTTATTTACAGTGTGTCTCTTTATCAAAATAAAATTAATGCTGAAAAGCTATATTAAATGAATTATTTTGAGATGGTCTCTTCCCCCTTCTTCCAATGAGAGGATATCCACAGATATGTCAGGAGCTTGCTTTACCTAGAAATGTGTTGAGGGCCACAGGTTTGGGTTCACCTAGGAATGTTTAGGGACACCTCCCCAAGTTGTTGTTGAAGAGTGGGGTAAATGTAAGATAGAATTAGGCTCACAGAGGCCAGATGAGAGCATCATGTCACCCCAGAAACACAGCATATACCTAGGAGATCTGTTCTCAGTATCAAAGTCTTAAGCACTGTAAGATTGCCTATAGACCAAGACAACAACTATATATATATATATATATATATATATATATATATATATATATATATAGTTAATAAAATCAGTTAATATATACACATATATTTATTTATTTATTAACTTATTTTCATTTTTATCTTCAGACAGCATCTTGCTCTGTCACCTAGGCTGGAGTGCAGTAGTGCAATTAAGGTTCACTGCAGCCTTGACCTCTGGGGCTGAAGCTATCGTCCTGCCTCAGTCTCCTAAAGTGCTAGGATGAGAGGTGTGAGTCACCTTGCCAGGCCCAGGGCAATAACTATGCAATGTTTATATAATTTGGAGCAAAAAATATTTGAAATATGTGTGCATTGCTTTTTAACCTTTTCTATTGATTTACTTTATTAAATACTGAACAGAAACAATATATTTATAAAATATTGATTTTATATATATAATAAGCACATAATGAACACCTGTGTCTCCAGTCTTGGTTTAAGAAATTAAGCCAAAAGTAATCATAAGTGCTTATGATTACTTTTGAAGTCACCTGTACAACTTTTGCTGACTACATCCCCTTCTTCAACACTCTAACGATGGCCACTGTGAGCACTGTGTATATTGAATTGTGTTGTATTTTAATACCGTGTGCACTACATTGTTTTCCTAGCTGTATGCTATTGCATTTAGTGAGCATAATGAATTATATCAGTATAATTCACTTTTGTCATTTCATTGTTTCAGATTTTCTGTACTAATTATTGCCAATATACTTCTACTGGCATAAAAACAGACACATAGGACAGTGGAACAGAATAGAGATCGCAGACAAATCTACACATTTACAAACAACTCATCTCTGACAAAGGCATCAAGAACATACACTGGGAAAACAACAGTCTTTTCAATAAATGATCCTGGGACAACTGAATAACTATATGTAGAAGGATAAAATTAAACCCATCTCACCATACACAAAAATCAAATCAAATAAAAATTGATTAAGGACTTGAATCTGAGACCTGAAACTATGAAGCTAGTAAAAAACAAACAAACAAAAAAAAGACGTGGGCGCGGTGGCTCACGTCTGTAATCTCAGCACTTTGGGAGGCCAAGGCGGGCGGATCACAAGGTCAGGAGATCGAGACCACCCTGGCTAACACGGTGAAACTCCGTCTCTACTAAAAATACAAAAAAAAAAAAAAAAAAATTAGCGGGGCATGATGGTGGGCGCCTGTAGTCCCAGCTACTCGGGAGGCTGAGGCAGGAGAATGGTGTGAAAAAAAAAAAAAAGAAAGAAAAAAAGAAAGCATAGGAGAAATGCTCCAGGACATTAGTCTGGGCAAAGATTTTTTTGCGTAAGACCTCGGAAGCACAGGCAACCAAAGCAAAAATAGACAATGGGATTATATCAAACTAAAAAGCCTCAAGCAAAGGAAACAATCAATAAAGTGAAGAGCCAACCACAGAATGGGACAAAATATTTTCAAACTATCTATCTGATAAAGGATTAACAAGTAGAATATATAAGGAGCTCAAACAACTCAATAATAAACAAACAAAAAATCTGATTGAAAAATGGGCTACTGAAGAGGCTGAGGTAGGAGGATTTCTTTTTTTTTTTTTTTTTTTTTTTTAAGATGGAGTCTCGCTGTCGCCCAGGTTGGAGTGCAGTGGCACGATCTCGGCTCACTGCATGCTCTGCTCCCCCGGGGCTCACGCCATTCTCCTGCCTCAGCCTCTTGAGTAGCTGGGACTACAGGCGCCCGGCGCCAAGCCCGGCTAATTTTTTGTATTTTTAGTAGAGACGGGGTTTCACCGTGTTAGCCAGGATGGTCTCGATCTCCTGACCTCGTGATCCGCCAGCCTCGGCCTCCCAAAGTGCTGGGAATACAGGCGTGAGCCACCGCGCCCGGTCAGGAGGATTTCTTAATCCCAGGAGTTTGAGGTTACAGTGAGCTATGATTATGCTACTGCCCTTTAGCTTGGGTGACAAAGCAAGACCTTGCTTCTAAAAAAATAATAGTTAAAAATATATAAATAAATACAATTTAAAAATGGGCAGAAGATCTGAACAGATATTTTCTCAAAAGAAGACATACAAATGGCCAATAGGAAGATGAAAGAATGTTCAATATCACTAATCGTCAAAGAAATGCAAATCAAAATCACAATGCAATATCATCTCACCTTGGTTGAAATGACTTGTTTCAGAAAGACAGGCAATAACAGATGCTGGCAAGGATGTGGAGAAAGGGAAATACTAGTACACTGTTGGTGGGAATCCACATTAATAAAGCCACTATGGAGAACAGTATGGAGGTTCCTCAAAAAAGTAAAAATAGAACTACCATGTGGTCCAGCAATTTCTTTACTGGATATATATCCAAAATAAAGGAAATTAATGTATCAAAGACATGTCTACATGCCGATGTGTACTGCAGCACTATTCACAATAGACAAAATATGGAATCAATGTAAGCGCTCATCAACAAATGAATAGATTTTAAAAGTCATATATATACATAATGGAATTCTACTCAGATACAAAGAAGAATGAAATTCTGTCATTCGCAGCAACATAGGTGGCGCTGGCCATTTGGCTTAACGTAATGAACATAGGCCATTATGTTAAGTGGAATGAGCCAAGCACAGAAAGGCAAATACCACATGTTGTCACTCATATGTGGGCAGTAAAAAAGTGGATCTCATGAAGATAGAAAGTAAATTGGTGGTTGCTAGAGGCCAGCAAGGGGAGTGGGAAGAGGAGATTAAGAGAAGAAAATATAAATGTATTTATCACCACTAAACTGTCCTCTAAAAATGTACAGATGGTAAATTATATATATATTTTTTAACTCAATAAAAAGTTAAAAAAAATTCTGCTGTGTGTTTATAGGGCACATGTACGAGACTTTCTCTAGGGTTGTATCAGTTTTCTATTCCTGCTGTGACAATTTACCACAAATTCAGTGGCTTAAAAGAACACATTTTTGTAAGATTTGAGTCAGTTTTAAAAAACACACACAAACTTATTGTCTTAGAATTGTTTTGGTTGGAAATCTGGCATGGCTCTCACTGAAATAACATCAAGATGTTGGCAGGCTGCATTTCTTTCTGAAGGCTCTAAAAGAGCATCTGGGTTGTTGGCAGAATTCAGTTCCTTGTGGTTGTAGATCCTCAGTTTCTTCCTGGTTGTAAACTTTGGGTCATTCCCAGCTTCTAAAGGTCACTGGCTTTCCTTGGCTTGTGGCCCCCTACCACTGTTTTAAAAGCCAGTAATAGCAGGCCACATCTTTCTCATACTGCCATCTGTCTGAATCTCAGCATCCAGAAAATATTCTCTGCTCTCAAGGAATTATGAGATTGGCTCACCAAGGTAATTCAAGGTAATTTCCCCATTTCAATGCCCTTAATGGTAATCACATCTGCCAAGTCCCTTTGAACATGCTAACTTACGTTAGCATGTTCACCTTATCTGAAGACTGGGATGTGGCTGTCTTTGGTGGGGGGCAATTATTCTGCCTAACCCAAAGATACACAACTTGCAGATATACAACTAGTTCATGGAGATGAAACATTTTCAAATCTACAAGAAAATGTTTTCTAAAATGAGCATTTCATATTAGACTTTCACGAGCACTGTATCAGAATTATATTTACTTCATAATGTTGCCAATACTGATATCAGGTATTTAATTTTCTAGCCAGTTCAGGATAATGTGAATTGTGAATAATATATTTGTTCATTCAGTCAACAAACATGTTTTATCAGATACCACCGATATGCTGGTCAGTGTCATGGATCCTAAAAATATAGCTGTTATTATTATTTTTTTAAACAAAGTCCCCACTGTGATAAAGCTTTTATTCTTTGGGACAGGCAGACAGTAATCCAGATAAATAAATGCAAGGGCAAATTGGGGGAAAAATTGGAATGGAGAGCTCAGAATCTGGCCCCAGAGAAGGGCAGAGGGAAAGGGGACCCAGTTCAGACTCTCGGTGCGTCCACATCAAACAATTCCATGAGGGCTGAGGAGACACAGCTGAAAGGCTTGTCTGACATCACAACAGACAGAAAAGTGAGCCCCATTTTCATCTCTATCCTGACAATGTTCCTGGCTTGATTTCCTCCTTCCAGCAGACACAAGAATCAGGGAGCGCACCCTGATGGTAACATTTTTGTCAGGGGCCTATTTTGGGGATCCTGGTGAGAACCTGAGTCCGTCACTGTCCACGGCAGCCCAGCATGGTCCCCAGTGCGTAGGCCAAGGCCAAGATTCTCTACCTCCATCCTGGAGGCAGAAGAAATGTCTGGGGGAAAATGAGAGGTTTTAGGTGGTTGGCACTGGGTGAGACCAAGGAGAAATTTTAAAGCTGTGTGTCCTGGGGCCGGGGGCGGTGGCTCACGCCTGTAATCCCAGCACTTTGAGAGGCCGAGGTGGGCAGATCACGAGGTCAGGAGATTGAGACCATCCTGGCTAACGGTGAAACCCCGTCTCTACTAAAAATACAAAAAATTAGCCGGGCTTGGTGGCGGGCACCTGTAGTCCCAGCTACTCGGGAGACTGAGGCAGGAGAATGGCATGAACCGGGAGGCCCAGCTTGCAGTGAGCTAAGATTGCGCCACTGCACTCCAGCCTGGGTGACAGAAAGAGACTCCTTCTCAAAAAATAAACTAAAATAAAATAAAAATAGAAAATAGAAAAAGCTGTGTGTCCTTTGTTTCTTCATATTTTGCAGATTTTTGATGTCAAAATATTTTCATAGTCAAAAGAGTGTTAATAAAGAATGACTTCTCTGTTATAAAAACCCTAATAGTGAATGTATTTACCAAGAAGTTAGATTCTGTCTTTGGTTTTTTGTTTTTTGCCCCGTAGTTTTTTAAAAATAGTTTTATTGTATGGATATTCTACAGTTGGTGTATCTATTCAACTCTTGATGGACATTTGGTTTGCTTCCAGTTGTTTTTGCTATTTCAAATAAAGTTGCTACGAATGTTTGTCCAATAGTTTGGACATACGCTTTCATTTGTCTTGGGCAAATAAGCAGGATTTGAATGACTAGGTGGTGTGATATGTTTAACTTTTTTTTTTTTTTTGAGACGGAGTCTCGCTCTGTCGCCCAGGCTGGAGTGCAGTGGTGCATCGCGGCTCACTGCAAGCTCCGCCTCCCGGGTTCATGCCATTCTCCTGCCTCAGCCTCCGGAGTAGCTGGGATTACAGGCGCTCGCCACCACGCCCGGCTAATTTTTTGTATTTTTAGTAGATACGGGGTTTCACCGCGTTAGCTAGGATGGTCTCGATTTCCCGACCTCGTGATCCTCCCGCCTTGGCCTCCCAAAGTGCTGGGATTACAGGCATGAGCCACCGCTCCCAGCCAGTTTAACTTTTAAAGAAACTGACAAAGTGGCTGTATTTCCAGCAGCAGTGTATGAGCATTCCTGTTCCTTTGTGTTCTCACCAATGTTTAGTATGGTCAGTCTTTTAAATTTTAGCTATTCTAATAGGCATGTAACAGTATCTCATTGTGGTTTTAATTTACATTTCCCTAATGATGAATGATGTTGAACATCTTTCCATGTGCTGACGTATCATCCATCTGTATTCTATGGTGAAATGTCTGTTCAGATCTCTACATTTGTGTTAGACTATTTGTTTTCCTATTATTGAGTCCTGAGAGTTCTTTGTATATTTTGGATAACAAATGTATCTTCACCAGATATAGCTTTTGTAAATTTTTACTCCCAGTCTGTGATTTGTCTTTTTATTCTCTCGATAGTGTTTTTCTTTCTTTTTTTTTTTTTTTTTTTTTTGACTGAGTCTGGCTCTGTCACCCAGGCTGGATTGCGGTGGCACGATCTCGGCTCACTGCAAGCTCAGCCTCCTGGGTTCACGCCATTCTCCTGCCTCAGCCTCTACGAGTGGCTGGGACTACAGGCGCCCGCCACTACGCCCGGCTAATTTTTTGTATTTCTGGTAGAGAGGGGTTTCATCGTGGTCTAGATCGCCTGACCTCGTGATCCACCCACCTCGGCCTCCCAAAGTGCTGGGATTACAAGCGTTAGCCACCGCGCCTGGCCTCTGGACAGTGTTTTTCACAGGTCAGATTAATTTTTATATAAATCATTTATTTTATTTTTATTATGTAAAATTTTATAATTTTTAATTTTATTTTTAATTTCCTTTTTAAAAGGTAAATAAAATTTTAAGTGTAATGATGCAAAATTTTGTTTAAAGGTAAATGTATATAAAAGTGTTGATATAGACTAAAAAATTGAATAAGTAAGAAGGTAGTTAGTTGTCACAGTAGGAGTGAAGTGAAAAGCTTCCCCTTTCACCCTCTGAAGATTACCCGAAATGAACTGACCATACACAGATTAATAAAAGAAAGGGTATACAAACTTACTTAACCTGCAAAAACATGAGAGCTATACACAAAGTATAAGACTTGAAGATGGCTCAGATCTTAAACGCTCTCCTCATAGGCAATAGATATATAGACCCAGGATGCAGAAATTATTTTGTAAATAATTTCCTTTGGAAGCTGGATGGGACAGACAAATTACGGAAAGGTGAGAGATGGAACTGCACAGGAAAAAATTTTGTCTTTGTCACTTTAATCTTATCATTACTAGAGAATATTTATGAATATTTTACAATAATATATTTTTAAGCCCAAACCTCACCAAATGTTTTTTCTAAAACAAATACTTTTTGTTGTTGTTTGTTTGTGTTTGATACTGTGTCTCACTCTGTCACCCAGGTATGGAGTGCAGTGGTGCAACCATGGCTCACTGCAGCCTTGACCTCCTGGGCTCAAGTGATTCTCCTACCTCAGCCTTCCAAATAGCTGGGCTACAGGCATGCACCATCATGCCCTGGTAATTAAAGAAAAAAAATTTTTTTGTTAGAGACCAAGTCTCATTATATCACCCTGGCTAGTCTTGAACTCCTGGAATCAACTGATCCTCATGCCTTGGCTTCCCAAATTATTGGGATTATAGGTGTGAGCCACAGTGTCTGACCACATATTTCTATACTTCACTGAGGAAAGGAAGGTGCTAGAAAAATTGGTTAAGAACTATTTTTTAAAAAGCTATTAGTAGTGATTTATTTTATTTTTTAATGATTGATTGATTTTTGAGATTGGGATCTCACTATGTTGCCCAGGCTGGTTTCACATTCCCAAGTTTAAGCAATACACCTGCCTCAGTCTCCCAAGTAGCTGGGATGACAGGTGTGTGTCACCATACCCAGCTCCATTGGTAGCGTTTTTAACAATTGTGGGCCACTGAGTAAGAATAATTTTTTTTTAAATTAAAGGTTATTTTTTAAAAAGCACATTTGTAGAAAATTACTAGCATAATCTGCCTAAAATAAATATACATATTGAAAAAATGTTTTCTCTGAACAAAAAGAAATATATTCACCACACATACATACATACACACACACACGCACACACGCACACACACATATTATGGAAGATTTCAAGACCAGGCAATAATTTCCACTCAATCCAAAAACAATGCAATCCCAGAGCTGAATATTTACGTGAAAAATATATCAGGAATGGGAAGCATTCAGGTTTAATTTTCATGTTTTGGTAGAGTTAGGATGTGAGTTTTCATTTAAAAATATTCTTTATTTTGTTGCTACTATTGTGGTTTCTGTATTGTTACTATACAATCTGTAAACTAAATAGTAAAGGAGAGAAAATGATTTTCAAAGAAGCTGGCTTGGGAACAGGTACTATTCTGGGAAGATGAAAGGTTTCACTTAATGACTGGTACCTGTGCCACTCTGGTTATTTTAACTGTTAACCTTTTAGGAAGAGGTTTTTCTTTTAAAAGACATCCTTTAATATTTGGGAAGCTAGTGCAATAGTACACATTGAGGCCCACATACCACATGCCAAATATTTAAAAGGCATATTTCTAGTTAACCACTGTACATACATATATTTTTCTCTCTTATTTTCTTATTTTAGTTTTTTTCCTTGTCAACAATTTATGTCCACACATATCTTCTATCATCCCACTTTGACAAGTAATATTATACCTTCAAAATGATGTGGAAGACTAGATTGGAATTTAGAACCATAGAACCTTGTAATTGTACAGGCAAGTTTCTTCCTGGGAAAAAATAAAACAGGAAGAAAAGGCTGAGCAGCCTCTGGTTCAGGAAGGAAATTTGGGAGTCCCTTATAGCAGCATCTCTAGTACTTGGGAACCGAACAGACTTCTCTGCCTGTGAGGCTGGAATGGGCCCTTCTGGAGAACACGACAGAGAAGTTATCTACTGCCTTTGCCCCCAGGGCCCAGGCAACACTTTTACCCTCCATTGCTTGTTTCCGAAGTTAAGGGGAGGAGACAATGTTTTGTTTAGTGACCTCGACAGAAAAGGTGTCCTCCTGCAACCACTCATTTGTTACTTTTCTTCTTCCTGAATTGCCTGGACCCACTCCTCCTCCATTTGACTGGCTCTGTGCACTGATGTTATAGTCAGGAGATTTTTGGGAATTGTGGCTTCTAAAAATGTACACCCAACTCTACCCATAGCTGGCCCTGTGAACCTACACACCTGTTCCACTGTGTCTCCATCTCATAGAGACACTTTTCCTGCTGAGTCTCTGCCCTCTGCTCCTAGATCCAAATGGCATCTCCTACCCTATCCCTGTATGGCTTAACCTAGGGAAACTCTTTCCCAGAGGAGTCAGGTAAGGAGACGGTGGCTGAGCTTCTTACAGACTTAAAGGAGACATCCTGGAATTTAGGATTCCATCCTTCCTTTCTGTCTCCCTGGCAGCTCCTGCTGCTGCTCAAAGCTTAGCTTTGTCTCTCATCCATCTCAGACTGTTGCTGGTCCTGATGGCCTCTGCTTAGCTGTATTAGTACGTTCTTGCATTGCTATAAAGAAATACAAGAGAAATACCTTTAGTTGGCTCATGGTTCCATAGGCTATGCAGGAAGCATGGTGGTTTCTGCTTCCGGGGAGGCCTCAGGAAACTTTTACTCAAGGTGCAGGGCAAAAAAAAAAAAAAAAAAAAAAAACTACCAGCACTGCACTGTGAGGCCCTGATCCCTGAGCTAACTTCATATTATTACCTCTACAGCAAGTGTCTGTGAGAACATAGATATATTTCTTATGTGAGTACACAATTTACAGAAGAGGAACTACCCTCCCAAACCAAAACAAAATGTCATAATTTTAATTTACCAGCAAACCTAGCTTGCTTCTGTGAAATGATCTCATTTGCTGAGTTTTAAAATTGACTAAATTTCCCAATTTCCAAATGAAAATATTTAGTTATCTTGTCTTGCTATGTGTTTTTGGTTAATATGATGATTAATTTTTGGTCTATTACTTAATACATTCCATGATTGTTGATATGGATTATAAGGACTCACAAAATAGTTTTCAGATGTCTTTAATTTTTTTACTTAGTGTAGATCCTATAAATGGATTAGGAGTATTCTATTAACTCCCATGTATTCAGAAATCGAATTGGAATGGTAAATTCTGTTTGAGGAAACAAGGGATATCAAAGGAAAAAAAATAATTTTGTGACTATGTCTTCTATACGTAAATTTTTCAGGCATCTTTATCAATGGCTTATACTAAAGACATTTTCTGGATCATGGGTGATAGACAGAAGACATGTGGATAAGTGGCATTGTGTACTCTACTGCATTTTATCATCTGGTTTATTTTTAAACTTTTATTTCTCTTAAGGATGTTTTATTAACCGGTCCATAACCTGGTTAACAGTCTCTGGAACACTAAACTTACCAGAAAATACTTGTTGATTGAATTAACAAGAAAATAACATTAGAAAACAGTGGTGGCTTGTTTTTGTCTGTTGCAGTATCTTGGAGAGTAAAGCCTAACTCTTTAATTTTGGCCAAAGGTATAAAGAAATACCTGAGAAACACCTTTAGTTGGCTCATGGTTCCGTAGGCTATACAGGAAGCATGGTGGTTTCTGCTTCTGGGGAGTCCTCCAACACTTACTGGCAGGGTAATTTTGAAGAAGTCATGATAAGATGGTTGTTACAATTAAATGAAATAATCAAAGTGGAAGAGCTTAGTTAGCTGTCTTCCCTAAATGAATCACTGGCAAGTAAGAGTGTGATTGATTTTCCTGCTAGTCAGGACTCACCCCTTGAAGCTATAGGAGGGTAAACCTCTGAAGACCATACAATTTAGGGAACACTAACAACTCAAAAACTCTGTAAACTTCCTTCCTTCCTTTTCTTCCTTCCTTCCTTCCTTGCTTCCTTCCTTCCTTCCTTCCTTCCTTCCTTCCTTCCTTCCTTCCTCTTTCCCTCCCTCCCTCTCTCTCTCTTTCTTTCTTTGTTCATTTTTGAGACAGAGTCTTGCTCTGTCATTCAGGCTAGAGTGTAGTGGCTGGATTACAGCTCACTGCCGCCTTGACCTCCTGGGCTCAAGCAATCCTCTCACCTCAGCCTCCCTAGTAGCTGGGACTATTGGCATGCTTAGCTAATTTTTTCCTCCTTTTCTTTTTGTAGAGGCAGGGTCTCATCATGTTGCCCAGGCTGGTCTTGGATTCCTTGGATCAAGCAATCCTGCTGCCTCAGCCTCCCAAAGTGCTGGATTACAAGCATGAGCCACTGTGCCCAGCCTTAAGTTTTTTCATACAGGAGGAAAGAATTTGGGAGTGTAGGTGTGTGTGTGTGTGTGTGTTGGTTAGGGAGCCAACACATTTTTCTGCAAAGCTTGAATTCTGTGCCTCAGTTTTTCATTTTTGTTATGTGCATAATAAAATCGTATCCTGCTATAGATTTAAACCTGTGAGCGGAGCTTACTCAAAACCTGATTCAAACTTTGTGTAGATCTTTGTCTCTCTATGGCATAAGAATAAATTCTTCTGGTTTTCTTCCCTCAGAAAAATGGACTCAGACTTCCCACAAGTCTTCTAGAAAGAACTCACCTGCCTCATCTGCCTGAATTACCTCATAGACCCCATCACTATAGGCTGTGGGCACAGTTTCTGTAGGCCCTACCTCTGCCTTTGCTGGGAAGAAGCACACACTCCTGCCCTGCGTGCAGGGAACTGTCACAGCAGGAAGATTTCAACCAATATTCTTCTGAATAATCTAGTGTCCATTGCCAGAAAAGCCAGTCTCTGGCAATTCCTAAGCTCTAATTAACAAATGTGCGGGATCCACAGGGAGACAAAGATGTTCTGTGATGTGGGCAAGAGCCTGCTCTGTTTTCTGTGTTCTAACTCTCAGGAACACTGGGGCACAGAGACACTGGCCCACTGAAGGGGCAGCTAAGGAACACTGTGTAAGTGATGACTCAAAGCACTTTGAAAGCTGGAGGGCAGCACAGGTAAAGATATTAGGAGGAAGATGAAGAGCATGAGGATTAATCTATTCGTTACCGAGTGTCATGTCCTGCCTAGGTATCAGTGATATAACTGTTATCCTGCTATCAAATCTACTGATAAGTGGCTCATTTAACTTATATGCACTCATCACAATGCAAGAAATCCTCTGACTGCTCCTACCATCATGGCCCCTAGCCATGATATGACTTGTCTCCACACTAGCAGAAACTAATCAAGTCCCTATATTAGGGATAAGTGGCATTTATATATATATATATAATTTTTATATATAATTTTGTATGATATATAAAATATGAATATTTATACAATATATTATATACATATTATATATATCACAATGGCAAAAATGTATTGTCTTCGAAATAATCATAGTGCATTTGGAGAGACAAATGCATCTACAACCAGGCGACAACACTGAAAATAAAATTGTAGCAGTTTGAATAGGGGATTAAATGAGTTAATTTTTTCCTGAGGTTCAAATAAAGAAACAGCAGCAAAAAATGGTACTTAAGACTGAAAGTTGGCCGGGTGCAGCTGCTCATGCCTGTAATCTCAACACTTTGGGAGGCCAAGGTGGGCGGATAACCTGAGGTCAGGATTTCGAGACCAGCCTGGCCAACATGGTGAAACGTCATTACTAAAAATACAAAAATTAGCTGGGCATGGTGGCAGGTGCCTGTAATCCCAGCTACTCGGGAGGCTGAGGCAGGAGAATCACTTGAACCCAGGAGGCAGAGGTTGCAGTGAGCCAAGATCACGCCATTGCACTGCAGCCTGGGTGACAAAAGCAAAACTCCATCTCAAAAAAAAAAAAAAAAAAAAAAAGAAAGAAAGTTCTGGGTTATGACACAGAACATATGCAACATGAATATGTCATGGTTATGAACATGTAGATTACTCAAGATTGTGTATTTTTAAAATAATAGAATACTAGGTTAAAAAATTAGCATCACAGAATGAAAAATGAGCCACAAACTAGCAGAAGATAATTGTAACACATAAAAACAAAGGATTAAATACAATGGTAATATAATGATAGCTATTCTTACAAAGTTGTTTCTATGTCTCAGGTACTATTCTGAACAACATACGTGCATCTTGAATGCCTGAAGAATTCCTATATAAGAAAAACACAAACAACAACATTTAAAATGAGCAAAAAACCTGAATAGGAATTTCACAGAAGAGAAAACATAAATGGCCCATAAACATAATAAAAGATGCTCAACTACAATTCTAATCAGGGAAATACACATTAAAACCCCAAAGAGATACCACTTCATACTCTAGGAAAAACCTAAAAGGCTGTGAATATCTAGTTTCATTGAGGAAGAACAATGGGAAGACTATTCACTGCTGGTGAGGGTGTAGATTGGTACAACTGCTTTGGAGAAGAGTTTGATGCCACTCAATAGAGCTGAACACACACATGCCCAATGACCAAGCAATTCCACTCCAGGTACATACTGTAAAAATACTCCTGCACATGTAGAATAGGAGACACTGCATAACAAAGTTCACTAGAACATGAGGCTGAGGTGGGAAGATGGCTTGAGACCAGGAGTTCGAGGCTGCACCAGTAGCTGGGACTATAAGCATGTGCCACCGTGCCTGGCTAATTTTTTGCTGTTGTGGTTGTTAGAGATGAGGTCTTCCTTTATTGAACAAGCTGGTCTCCAACTCCTGGCTTCAAGTGATCTTCCCACTTCTGCCTCCCAAAGTGCTGGGATTACAGGTGTGAGCCACCATGCCCAGCCAAGTTCTGCTTCTTAACCTGAGGTAGATACTTTGATGTTTCATTTTCCTTTATTGTACAGATATACTTTATATTCTCATATGTGACACAAGTCAAAATTTAAAAAAACAATTCAACGTTTATTCCCTTTAGATGAATGATGGGCAAATTAACATAATGAATTCATTACTGAAATAATGTATAGATTTCAGACTAGGAAAGTAACTATTTACAAAAGAAAAGCTTAAAACCTGAAACAGAAACAAAATCCTGAAACTGTAAAATTGAGTCAAACTAAAATTTAAAAAACAAAGCAATGATATAAAGTATCATTTGTCCAAATGTGTTCTACAAAATGCTTTTTTCTTAAATATGTCTGAGGAAAAACAGGTTCTAGGAGTAAAATATGTTTGAAAAATGCTGGGTTAAACAACTGAACCTATGAAGGAAGGAATAGAACTTCTCAAGCTCTTGACTCTGGAATCTTTTTTACACGGCAATTAACACCATGCTTCTTCTTCGATTTGTATTTCATATAAACACAATCTGGGAAACATTTTATAATACAGAGGGCCACACCAGATTGAATATTGCCCCCAGGAATGAAATGGAAACAGGAATGGATTCTCCAGTAAGAGGTACCCAGATATCCTAATCTTCAGTAGCTGACCTAAACCCTGGACAAGTGGGATCAAACCCCATAACCAAATACAACTTTTTAGGAACTAAGTGGATAACCGCTCTGTGTTGTATGAACATGTGGGCAGTGTGTTTCCTACACAGCTTAAAAGTGCAACAAAAAAAGATCTAGGTGTCATATAAAGAATTTCTACCACAGTTAGGGTAATGGTGGACTGACAGGCAGAGGGTCTTAGATGTGACTTAAGTAAATTTCAACAGAAGCTTCCAGCACAGATATTCATGTTTCGAATTGGACCGCTCAGTTAAAAAGTTTTCCCACTAGACTTCCCCTAATCAAATTAGAAATTATCTAATTTTCTAATAAAGTTTTCCCCAGGCATAAGGAATCTGTGAACTGGACCTAAAAAATTCTTCATAATGTGCTTTTATTACCATAAAAGATGCATATTTATTTTAAAAACTTCTCTACACCACTATCATAAACATTTGCACACACTTATTTCTTTTGGAAGCTAACTTCTGAGTGGTAATGAAATATATTCTTAAGAAAAAAGTCTGACACAATGCCTTTGCATCTTAAAATATGTTAAAATATTATTTGAAAAGAGTCAAATGTCTGTCTTTTCAGGGTATCACAGGGTGTCAAACTGGAAAATGTGGCACTGCCAGGAGTTTCTACCTGGTGAAGGGTGGCAGACTTTTCTCTTCAGAGGGCTCTTGACAGTGTAGCATCCATTATCTTGCCAATTTACCACAACCTAGGCCCAATCCTCAGTCTTATAGATTCAGAAATTTATTTTTATCAGCATCAATAGGGTAGCTACATTGCTTAGAAGAAAACAAAATTAACCATGCTTCAACAGAAATCAGGATATAGATGTATTAATACAGAATGACAAATATAACTGTGACAGAAATAGGAATGCCTGTTTATGGTCATATACGGCCAATACTTTCATTACAGCCAGACTCATACATGCAGACAAATAAGCGGCCCCTGGATAGACACGGAATCAGAATAAAAAAAGAACTGAACATTTAATAGTCTTCTTTCATTCAATCAATAAGTTTTTTTAATTAAGCAACTACTATGTCCAGGTAACCTTCTAGGTCCTGGGGATACAGAGGTCTCTGCTTACAGAAGTCATATGTAAGTAGCAGGTGAAGAGTATGTGTTTCACAGAAGTTTATTACAATATATTAACAAGAGGAAAAAATTTTGGAAGCAATCTAAATGTTCAGTAATAGAGCTCCAATTAAATAACAATAAATCCAAATAATAAAAAATAATGTAGCCCTTTAAGAATAAGCACTTGCAAGCCATAATTCATGACATGGGAAAATTATCATAATGGAAAAAGAAGCAAGCTATATATAGTGCATGATCCTATACACACACACACATACATACATATTTCCTATCCCTTTATATGCATAAGAAAACAAGCGGGAGGAAAGTCATATCTTTAGTCAAGTCTTGTTTACTAACGTACGATTAATGATTATCTTTTTTTGTTTATACCTTTTTGCATTTTTCAATTTCCTAAAATAGCCTTACATGCCTTTTATCACCAGGAGAAAAATTACTTCTAAAGTAATTTCAGTCAACATGCATACTAAGAACTCTTCAGATTTATCTATTAGAAGCTGTGCATGAATGCCAGTTCTTGCATTTGTCTTGGAAATCACAGAGAGCTCTTTTCCCATGGCTTTAAGCAATACTCAAAAAGACTAGCATGCCTGAATTTCCTAGTCCTATGTTTTTTTCATCCAACAGCCAGTCTTGTATTTCTAGCTGTTTTCTAAACATTTCAACCAAACCATTTTATAGATAACTCATACAGTCATCCTTTGATATGCATGGGGAATTTGTTCCAGGATACCCCTTGTATACCAAAATCCATGGATGCTCAAGTTACTGGTATAAAATAGTGTAGTATTTGCATATAACCTACACATATCCTCCTATATACTTTACATCATCTCTAGATTACTTAATAACACTTAACACGATGTAAATGCTATGTAAATAGTTGGTATACCATGTTGTTTTTTACTTGTATCATTTTTTCATTGTATTGTTTTTTCTGACAATTTTGTTCCACAGTTGTTTGAATCGGTGGATGCAGAACCCATGAATATGGAGAGTCAATTGCATTTCATTATGCCCAAAGGTAAATGCATAACTTTTTCCGCACAGCTAATCTTCTAGCAACCCCATTGCTGTCCATGGCAAGCAGGCTTAGTTAATCTCACCCTTTCCCATTTCAGGTTCATTAAAAAACTCTTGTCAAAATCTCTTTCATCCCACCTTATTCTTCATTCTCACTTCCATCAGCATATCAGTCCAGGCCCTAGTAACATTAATGTTACTAATGGCACTGTTAGTAACATTACTTACCAGCATTCAAGTGGGTCTTCCTGATGCCATCCTTTCCCATCCTGCAATCACTGCTCTTTATATAGAACTTGTATGATGTCATTCATTGGCTCAAAAACTTTTAAAGCCTTCCTTTTTCTACCACCCCGATCTAAATTTCTATGCCTGGCTTTTATTAAAACCCAGAATTTGGCCCCACCCTAGCTATTTAACTTTATTTTCCACTATTCGGCAGTCTCCTCCCTCATCAACGAGAAGACATACCATAATCAACCTCACCACTAACCCTTGGAACATCTAAACTTAAAAATGGTCCTTCCTTTCCCCTTTACTTGTATTTAAGGAACCTGACGAATTATTCCTCCTCTGCTAAACTTTTCACAATTTCTTCAACCTCATTTATGTTTCACATTTTCAGAACATATCTTGCCGTTTATTAGGAATTTCACAATTAGGCACTCTCATGTAGATAGATTTACAATCATGTATGTTGTCATCTTCTATTAAATTCCATACTCCTTGAAGGCAGGAGCCATGCCTTATTCTGTCCCCCAGAGTACTCAGAATGATGCAGAGCACACAGAAAGTACTCAAATCTTGTTGACTGATCCAGTGAGAAATGACCAACTTCAGTTCCAGCCTCTCTTTAACATGTACATAGCAATTTGGGCAAGTCAAGCTCCATCCTGAAGGACATAATAGGGGACTCTTTAAGCACATTATTATGAAGGTCCTTCAGGGATAACACCAGAGTGATGAGGTGCCCTATACCAGGGATAATGGAGACAGAGTTCTTCGGATTCATCACTGGGGTCCTCAAAGTATCTTCCAAGGGCATAATAAGGAAGGACTCAAACACCTTTGAATCTCCATGAGACCAGGCATGAGGTCTTTTGAAAGAGTTCTTTAACTGGAGTGAATACTAAAGAGAAGTATAATAAAATAAAAGACCTGAGTAGGGTCTCCCTTGTTCATAAAATGACACTATCTAAATCACCAAATCTCACTGAGCCTTGGTTTAACTCAAGAGGTTCCATGCCACTATAAGAGGTGGTAACTGCCAACTGATAGGAAATATTTTCATATGCATAGTCATAGTGCCCCGTATTTATGAACTTCTTAAGAGTCTTCAAAAAGCTTTCTATATACATTATCCTTTACTTTCTAACTTTTCTAAATACAAGGTGAGAGAGACACAAGTGTTCTATCAAAACAGAATCTTGGCCGGGAACAGTGACTCACGCCTGTAATCTCAGCACTTTGGGAGGCAGAAGCGGGTGGCTCACTTGAGGTCAGGAGTTCGAGACCAACATGGCCAACATGGCAAAACTCCATCTCTACTAAAAATACAAAAAATTAGCCAGGTATGGTGGCAGGTGCCTGTAATTCCAGCTACTCGGGAGGCTGAGGTAGGAGAGCTGCTTGAACCCAGGAGGCGGAGGTTGCAATGAGCAGAGATCACACCACTGCACTCCAGTCTGGGCAACAAGAGCAAAACTTCATCTCAAAATAAAAAAAAAAAATAAAGACTTTTGCAAGGACCATGTCCCACCCAGAATGGTGCCTGCCTTTCTACAGTTTTTCAGGAAGAGGAAACATTTTCTGCTTCTCTTGCTGAGGTTTTTTTTAACCACCCATTAGGAACGTATAGATTTCAGGATGGAACACTGGGATTCCCTCAGCACTAAAGGAGGAAAATTGCAAACAGAGCTGAAAGTGCAATGTGGAAAGGTCAGGCTGAGGAAGGTTCTTAGCCAGTAGACCAAGGGCAGAAAGGACACTGCCTCCTCAGTCTCCCACTAGGGAACTTGTGATTATTGTCCCCTGACCTCAGAATTCCTTATCATGTTTGTTTTGTCTCCAAGGGAAGGGTTTGAATTACAGAATTTAAGGCTAGAGTGGGCCTCCTGCAGTTAACATTAACCCTCTCTCTCCTTTGCTGACCGAGGTGAAGTCTGGGACCATGTAGTTCTGACGTCCACTCTCTCGGGGGATCACCAGTTCACCCACCTCACCCGGCAAGCTGGGCCCTAGTTTGGCGACAGGCATCTTCCACCCACCTGGGAGGCAGGGTTCAACACTCTGACCTTTTTTCCTTCCTCTGCCACCTGCTTAGGCAGCCAGAAGGGGTTGTCCAGCCAGCACCTGGGCTTTGGTGCTCCTCAAGCAGGTGGAGGAAGTTTCAGGCACCTGGCTCCTCAGGTGTCTGCCATCCAGCTGCTCTTCAGGCCTGCCCAGCAGAGCTCTCTTGATCCAGCTAGAACTGGCCAGAACTGACTCACTCAGGAATGTGTAGACTTTGGCATCAGGGGCTGCTTTAATTTGCACAATTTCCAAATACCTCTTTTTTCTTCTTTTTCTGATAAGTCATCTCCCTAGACTTCCATTTTAAAGAGATAGATAGTTATCAGGTTCCAGAGAAGACATGGTAGAACATTTATATCTCAAAGACACAGAGCTGAGACTTCAGGTTTAGATATTATAATTTGCCTAAACCAAAAAGGAAGGTGTAGGTAAAGTTCTAGTCAAGACAGGATGGCCAGGAAAAACACCTAAAACCAAGGGATGGCTTGCTTTGCTGAACTAAGCCAATGGCTTCTTTATCATAAGACTTCCCAGTGATTTAGTCCTCCCTCTCTTCCAGTGCACAGAGACATACCCCTCCTTACAAATAAAAATGTTCTTTATAGATGGAAATTTATTTTACAAAAATGTTTCAAAATAACCAGATGAAAATCATCCTTATGCCAGAAAGACTTGTTTTTTTTTTCATTACTAGAAATGAAACAGTAAGTATTTGTTGTATTGACATACTTGGGCTTAGACCTATGTTTAACAAGAAAGCCTAATAATAGCACTGTGGTTAGACTGTAGCCTATTTTTCCAAACCATCATTTTATTATTAAGGAAAGAAAGGATCAAATACCTTTCATTCATCTGATATGATCCTTTAAAACACATTCCACTAATAAGTCCCATTTGGAACAGCTGAAAATCTTTTAATAAAACTTTTTAAAGATGAGCTCATGGCTTAGTGTAAATTTCACAAGCTTAATTAGGTCAAATGGAAGGAACTCAGATGAGTAGTTGCCCAATCAGAGCCCATTATTTGTAAGTCATCAGCCCCCTTCATGACCTTAAAACTCCACTCTGACCTAATTATTGCCAACCTATATACAACAAAGTGAAAGAATTACTTTTCATTCATCAACCTCTCAATCCCAGATTTTCAAAGAAAAAACCTATGTAAGGAATACTTACCAAAACCAGACAGGAAAATTAGAGCCTGCATACTTAAGAGTCAAATTTGTTCCACTACAGCCAGGTCACATACAATTACATCATTTGGTTCTTCATACACTCTGGAACTAACCAGGACAGAGTTTAGCATAGAAAAACTGTAAGAAATAGGTTCCGAAACATAGAAATTGCGAAGTCCAAAAGTCTATGAAAAAAACTAATGTAAATGAGAGACTCCCCTCCCTTTGTTTTAAAGAAATAGACCCATCAGAGAAATGCAAATCAAAACCACAATGAGATACCATCTCACACTAGTTAGAATGGCGATCATTAAAAAGTCAGGAAAGAGCAGGTGATGGAGAGGATGTGGAGAAATAGGAACATTTTCACACTGTTGGTGGGACTGTAAACTAGTTCAACCATTGTGGAAGACAGTGTGGCCATTCCTCAGGGATGTAGAACTAGAAATACCATTTGACCCAGCCATCCCACTACTGGGCATATACCCAAAGGATTATAAATCATGCTGCTATAAAGACACATGCACACATATGTTTATTGCAGCACTATTCACAATAGCAAAGACTTGGAACCAACCCAAATGTCCAAAAATGATAGACTGGATTAAGAAAATATGGCACATACACGCCATGGAATACTATGCATCCATAAAAAATGATGAGTTCATGTCTTTTCTAGGGACATGGATGAAGCTGGAAACCATCATTCTCAGCAAACTATCGCAAGGACAAAAAACCAAACACCGCATGTTCTCACTCATAGGTGGGAATTGAACAATGAGAACACTTGGACACAGGAAGGGGAACATCACACACCAGGGCCTGTTGTGGGGTGGGGGGAGGGGGGAGGGATAGCATTAGGAGATATGCCTAATGTAAATGATGAGTTAATGGGTGCAGCACACCAACATGGCATATGTATACATATGCAACAAACCTGCACATTGTGCATGTGTACCCTAGAATTTAAAGTATAATTAAAAAATATAAAAAAATAAAAAAAGAAATAGATGTTCTGTAAAAATATACACAATTTTTACAGACAAATACATTTATAAGTTGTTTTTAATCTTAAAAATTGGGGATATTTCATATTTATAACTAATTATTGAGCCTTAAGTTTTCTTGGCCATTTCTAGGCTAATAAACTAAGAATCATGTAAACTAAGCCAAAGCAGAATAGACATAAAAGTCCTGAACACTTCAACTTCCTATCCTTCAAGAAGTATACCTCGCAAAGCTCATTTGAGAGAGGAAAAGCTTTCCTCCACCCTCTGTTTTACAACGCTGAGGCTTCTCATCACATTTCTATGACGTGTAGCTTAAATCCATGTTACATGGTCACTGGCATTGTTAGTGCTTCTCTTTTAACACTGTAGGAATTAATCAATTTGGTGGCATATTTAATTAATTCTATCACTAGAGAATTGTAAAGTTACATATATGAATACCTCACTTTAGAGGCCACTTAATTTTTTTCCAAGGGGATATTTGACTATATTTCACTTGTGTTTTATTTAATGATTTTATAATTTAAACCGTAAATTATAAATCTAGAATTTAGAAAGTATATTTCCCCACTGGATTACATTTTTGGAAATATTATTTTATATGTGCACAAATATTACAAAATCACTGTAGACACCTGAAAACTATATTATCTTTTAAAGGCAATATTTACATTAAACTGGTATAAAAAAATTGTTTGGTGCATTTTTTCCAGTACATTTTGTGTATATTACATGTTTAACCTTTTTTTATCCAGCAAATAATTTTTGAGTATCTACTAAGTGCTAGGTTCTGCATTACCAACTGAATTTAAAGAGTGAAATAACAGACATGGTCTCAGACAATAAAAATTAACATTAGGTCAACTATTTATATATTTTAAAATGGTAATTATGAAAACTTTTTGAGATTTTTAACTAGATAACATTATAATAACACACTTGATGTTGTTAATATTTGCCAGTGAGCAAAAAAGAAAATAAAAAGATGATTTTATTCAATATACACTTTAAAATTGCAGAAAGTAGTCAAGTTTCTCTGCTTTGCAGTTGAATGTCTATGTGTTTTTCTCTGCAACTTGGCTTTTGTGGAGTGAAACAATTATTCTTCCAGCCCAATGAAGGCAGAAGAGTAACAATAAATCTAATTTTTAAATGCTTATCAAAAGATAGTAAACACATTATTTCAGAATACTGAGATCAATAAGTTGACCTACATAAAAAGCCAAACTGACAGTATCACTGAATAAGGAAAGGCCCAAAGAGACAAAATACTTTTTAATTTGTAACCTCGGTATGACACAACTTACCCTAACTATAAAGACCCTAAATTACCAAGATGGGTGCTTATAATATGGAGAGTAAAAAAAGTCATTTCACTTTTAGCTTTTTTATTTCTCTCTGAATAAAAACTGTATAAGGAGTTGATAAAGAAGTTGATACTATAAGTTAGTACTACAATGACAGCACTTTTCAAGAAAAGACTTTTTTCTCTCTTACAAATATCATGTTAGCAGTATTTGTTTTCTCCAGAAATAAAGAGGAAATAAAAACATAAGTATGTGGGTAATTAGTGTAGTTTCTTAAAGAGATGAGTTAGGCAACAGGCTAATAATGTATACTTCGCTGGCTTTTGAATGCCAACAATCATATTCTTTATAAGGCACAGAGAAGATTTTTCTGAAGAATAAGTATGTGAACCTGAAAAGTAATCACCACTTGGTAGTGACAATATGGATAGGGTGAAGGGCGTCACCAAGAAGCAATGAAAAGGTACATTTGCAGTTAAATTTGAAAACCATGATGTTTAATACATATAGTAATAAAGAATACTTTCTCCTATTTCAAAATTATTTTAGAATTTAAGATAGAAGCTAAAATACCTAGGGATAATGATATGACTATCAAAAATTAAAAATTAAAGGACATTTTGAGTATTATAAGTTAAGAATGAGAACTTATTACCCAATGAACAGGGGATAATTCATTATGCTCCATATCAATTGAATTAAAAGACAGGCCCATTACCTGGATAATTTGAAAGTTTAATTTTATTTAAAAGTCTTGTTTCATTCATCAAGCTAAAGGATTAGCTCCCAGAAATATTCTAGGATTACATATCCCCAATCTGTAGGAAGTATAGAAAGAATGTTATAAGGGCCACCATCTAAACATTATTATGTAAATAATTTAGTACCATTCCATTTGCCTTTGTAGATTTAAAAATGTAAATGGCTTTCTCATATTAGGAAACAACATTTTTCAAAACCCAGATAAACATAGTATATTGCAAGAGAATAATTATTTTCTTTATTAAAAAAGAAATACTGGATGCTAAGTCCAAAAGACATAAATTATTTTATACTAATAACTACTTTTATTCATTAAAATATAAAGGTCAAAGATTTCAAAATGATCTTTAAATGATTAATAACATGTTCATCTTTTTCTTCTTTCTGTAAACCTTTTTGTGTCTTAACAATACTAAACTCTACAAGCAATATTAAACAGTATATAAACTTAGATTAAAATATTCAAATTTACTAGAATGTGGACATTGGAAAGAATGAAAATAAAGAGAAGCATAAAGCAGCAGATATAAAATTAAGAAAGCAACTAAGAGTGTTTAAAGTACATATTCATCTGTAGTCTAATGTCTACCATAAACAATGACTCTTCTCAGTAAAACACAAATTGTTCATGAAGGGAAAAAGCATGTTGTATTAGAGAATATTCAACATAACTTTTTTAGTACTAACTTGTGCCTGGAGTATTATTGGTTTTTCTATTATGAACTTATGCACTTGATAATTTTTTTCATAAAAATTGTATGTACAACTCCATTCAAAAGCAGTTTTTGGTGGGTTTTTTTTTTTTTTTTTTTTGAGACAGAATTTTGCTCTTTTCACCCAGGCTGGAGGGCAATGGTGCGAACTTGGCTCACAGCATTGCCATGTTGATCAGGCTGGTCTTGAACTCCTGACCTGAGGTAATCCACCCACCTTGGCCTCCCAAAGTGCTGGGTATGGGCAAGAGCCACCATACCCGGCCTCAAAAGCAGTTTTGAAAAGCAAACACAATATAACACCAAAGTTGAAAAATCCATGTTCACCCAAGGATGCCAGGTTTAATAAATTATTTATAGAATACTGCATCAAAAATAAGACAATAACCCAAAATATACCATTAAAGATGTATCCACTCCTACAACTAGAGATAATTAATCTATCTGGTAGCAAGTGATACTTCAATCAGTTTCAGCATGTCTGAAATCTTTAAGGACAAAAGTGGTAAAACATGACTTCATTCTTCATTAGACTCTTAGAACACTTGAAGGAAAATAATTTCTGAAGCACAAAGAGGTAAAGAGGTGTAATCTTTCAAAAAGATATTCAGTGTTCAAAATCCAAGAGTGCAATATCAGGCTGGGTGCGGTGGTTTATGCCTGTAATCCCAGCACTTTGGGAGGCCATGGTGGGTGGATCACCTGAGGTCAGGAGTTCGAGACCAGCCTGGACAACAGGGTGAAACTCTGACTGTACTAAAAATACAAAAATTAGCCAGGCATGGTGGTGTGCACCTGTAGTCCTAGCTACTTGGGGGTCTGAGACAGGAAAATCGTTTGAACCTGGGAGGTGGAGGTTGCAGTGAACCGAGATCATGCCACCTCACTCCAGCATCAGTTACAGAATGTGATTCCATCTCAGAAAAAAAAAAAGTGTAATATCATATCGGTATACACAGAAAATATACTGAATGAAACAAATATAATAATTTGAAGAGGTATCTTGATGAACAAGGAGTCATTAGAAAGGTTGTATTCATGTCTTTGAAGGAAATTGCAATGTGAGAAATTAATACTTTGACTACTATACTAAAAGTTTATTGCTAACATCTATTGAGTTATTAACGTGTGTTAGGCAGAGTACCACATAATTTCCAAGTGTTATCTCATTTATTCTAGGTAAAATGTAATTTCAAACTCTGGGAGTATAAATGAATTAGATAGAATAAAATTCTATTTAAATGGCCATCAGTAAATCGGTATCTAGGAACAGGGTGATACAGTGGCCAAGTTTTCTATTCTTACTAATTGTTGTGTTTCATTTTCAATGTTTTCTTGAATATTGCCCTTTTTTGGTGACTGATTTTTTTTTATTTTAGAAAACTAATAAACTGACTCTTCTTGGTACTGACTCTTGGGTTTTATAGAAGAAAAAGTAATTAAATTCTGTACATTTACCTTTACCTCATTTTTTCTCTTTTAAATTTACTTTAATTGACATATAATAAATGTACATGTTATGGGGTACAGAGTGATATTTTGATATATTTATGCAATGCATAAAGATCAAGTCACAGTCATTATCATATCCACTACCTAAATCATGTATTATTTCTTTGCAGTGAGAATATTCAAAATCTTTTATTTTAGTTATTTGAAAACACACAATAAATTCCCGTTAACTACAGTCACCCAACAGTGCTGTAGAGAACTAGAACTTCTTCCTTCTCTCCAGCTGTAATTTTGTATGTACTAACCACATTTTTCTTATACTCTTCTTTCTCCTACTCTTTCCAGGATATGGTAACAAAAACTCTACTATCTACTTCTACGAGATTAAAAATCTTAGCTTCCATACATAAGTGAGAACACATAGTTATGTGGTGTTTATGTTTCTATGCCAGGCTTATTTCACCTAACATAATGCCCTCCACTTGCATTCTTGTTGCCACAAATAACAGGATTTTGTTCTTTATTATGACTAAATAGTATTCCATTATATATGTATGTCACATTTCTTTATCCATTCATCTGTTGATGGACACTTTTGTTGATTCCATATCTTGGCTATTGTGAATAGTGTTGTAATGAACATGCGGGTGCAGGTAACTCTTTGATATACTGATTTTCTTTCCTTTGGATATATACTGAAAACCATATGATTAAATTAATAAACACAATAAAAGCATTTGGCAAAATTAAATATTCTTACATGACAAAAAACTTCTCAACAATTTAATATAGAAAATATATGCCTTAACACAAAGGACATAAAGGACAAATCTACAGCTAAGATCATACTGAGTGTGAAAAAGGTGAAAGATTTTACTGTGAACAAGAAAAGATTTTATTGTAAGAAGAAAAGGATGCCTATTTTCACCAATCATATTTCACATAGTGAAAGTCTTAGCCAGGACAATTAGGTGAGAGAAAGAAATAAAGGACATCTGAAATGGAAAGGAGACAGTCAAATTGTCCCTGTTTAAAGACAATGTGATCTTATACACAGAAAAAAATAAGATGCTACCAAAAGCTTCTTAGGGTGATACATGAAATTAATAAAGTTGCAGGATATAAATCAACATACAAAAATCGGTAGCATTTCTATATATTGATAGTAAACTAGCTGAAACAAGAAATTAAGAAAGCAATTCCTTTTACAATAGCTACAAAAATGTACTTAGAAATAAATTTAAGCAAGCAAGTAAAAGATTTCGACAACAAAAATGACAAATATTAATGAAAGAAATTAAAGAAAACACAAAAAAGGAAAGATATCCATGTTTATAGATTGAAATAACTAATATTCTTAAAATGACCCACTATCCTATGTGATTTACAAATTTAGTACAATCACTAGCTTGTATTTTTAAAAGCACCTTTGCTGCATATTCTTAACATATTCAATGACAATGCCTGGATTTAAGTTTGAGGTATTATTGTATCTATTTTACATTGGGCACAATATAATGTTATCAGAGGTAACGGTTTTGATTGGTCCTAGGTCATACAGTAATATATACATTGTGATTTATAGACATGCTATCTTTTAATACTCAGGCATTTAGAAAGTTCATTTAGACAAAGTTATAAAAACTTGCCTTCCTTTCTGCCTATATCACCTAAAAATCCTAATTTAAGAGGTAATAACATTTTTTATTTGATATACAATTTATCAGCACAACAAAAATCTAACAATTATCATGTGCAGAGTGTGAAAATCTCATCAGATTAAGGAACACAAAGACATCTTTTTCATATTTCGAATGTAAAACTGTTTTGGACACTGTTTTTTTAGAAACAGTTAAAAACATTTTTTCATTAGTTTTTCATGTCAAACTGTGACAACCAGCATGAAATAACTGTCATCACAGAAGCATGGTATATTCGATTCCAAAACATATTCTTTGTAAGTTTTAATATATTTATGTATTATTTATACTTAGATTGTAACCCATAATGTAGATATTATTTTTCCTTCAACTCTTAAGAATATTCTTAAATAATAAAATTAAAATGAATTATAATTTTTGTTGGTTGGGAAAAAGAATAGACACACACGTGACAGTGCATCACTTCACCTCATCATTTCATCTCATCATTTCATCTCATTTTATCTCATCTCATCATATCATCTCATCATTTCATCTCATCTCATCATTTCATCAAATCTCATCTCATTTCCATTTCATTTTCATTATTTCATTTCATCATTTCATTTCACTATTTCATTTCATTTCATCTAATTTCATTTATTTCATTGTGTCACTTCATATCATCTCATTTCATTTCATCTCATTTTTCATATCATTTTTCATCTCATCACTTCATCTCAATTCATTTCATCTCATCATTTCATCTCCTCATCTCATCATTTCCTCCTTTCATTTCAACATTTCATCTCATCATTTCTTCTCATCTCATTTGAATTTCATTTCATTATTTCACCTAATTTCATTATTTCATCTCATCTCAATTCATCTCATCTCATTTCATCTCATCATTTTTCATCTCACCATTTAATCTCATTTCATTTCATCTTATCATTTCAGCTCATCATTTCATCTCACCACATCTCTTCATTTCAACATTTCATCATTTCATCTCATCATTTATCTCATCTCATCTTTCAATTTCATTTCAATATCATTTCATTTCATCATTTCATTTCATCTCATTTCATTATTTCATTATTTCATTTCATCTCATTTCAATTCATCTCATCATTTTTCATCTCATCATTTTTCATCTCGTCATTTCATCTCATCATCTCCTGTCATCATTTCATCATTTCATCTCATTTCTTCTCATCATTTCATCTCATCATTTTATCTCATTTCATCTCACCTCATTTCAGTTTCATTATTTCATTTCATTTCACTTTATTTCATTTCATTTCATCTCATCTCATCATTTCATCTCATCTTACCTCATTTCATCTCATCATTTCTTCTCATCTCATCTCATCATTTCATCATTCCATCTCATTTATCTCATCTCACCTCATCTCATCATTTCATCTCATCTCATCATTTCATCTCATCTCATCATTTCATCTCATCCTTTCATTTCATCTCATCATTTCTTATTTCATCTCATTTTATCTCATCATTTCATCTCATCTCATCTCAATTCAATTTCTTTTCATTATTTCATTTCATCTCATTCATTTCATTTCATTACATCTCATCATTTCCTCTCATCATTACATCTCATCTCATCTCATCATTTCATCATTTCATCTCATCATTGCATCTCATCATTTCATCTCATCATTCATCTCATCTCATCATTTCCATTTCATTTCCATTTCATCATTTCATCATTTAATTTCATCATCTCATTTAATTTCACCTCATTTCATTATTTCATTTCATTATGTCATTTTATTTCATCTCCTTACATTTCATCTAATTTCATTTCATCTCATATCATCTCATCATTTCATTTCATCTTTTCATCTCATCATTTCATGAACTCATTTCATCTTATCTCATCATTTCATCATTTCATCTCATCTCGTATCTTCTCATCTCATTTCAATTTCATTTCGTTATTTCATTTATTTCATGTCATGTCATCTCATCATTTCATCTCATCACATCTCATCATTTCATCATTTTATTTCATCATTTCATCTTATCATTTCGTCTCATCATTTCAGCTTATCACTTCATCTCATCATTTCATCTCATCTCATTTCAATTTTATTTCAATTTCATTTCATTTCATTATTTCATTTCGTCTCATTATTTCATTATTTAATTTTATTTCATTTCATCTCATCATTTCATCTCATCATCTCATCTTATCTCATCATTTCATCTCATCATTCATCTCATCATTTCATATCATCATTTCGTATCATCATTTTATCTCACCATTTCATTTCATCTCATCTCATCTCATCTCATCATTTCATCTCATTTCATCTCATCTCATTTCATCATTACATCTTATTTCATCTCATTTTATGTCATTTCATGTCATCATTTCATCACATCTCCTCTCATCTCATCTTTTCATCTCATCATTTCAACTCATTGCATCTCATATCATCATTTCCATTTCATTATTCCATTTCATCATTTCATTTCATTATTTCATTTCATTATGTCATTTCGTCTCATCACATTTCATCTCATCTCATATCATCATTTCATCTCATCTCATCATTTCATCTCATTTCATCTCATTATTTCATCTGATTTCATGTCATCATATCATGCCATCATTTCATCTCATTTCATCACATCTCATCTCATCATTTAATCTCATCATTTAATCTCATTTCATCTCATCTCATCATTTCATCATTTCATCTCATCATTTCTTCTCATCTCATCATTGCCATTTCATTATTTCATCATTTCATTTCATCATTTCATTATTTCATTTCATCTCATTTCATTATTGCATTTCATTATGTCATTTCATTTCATCACATTTCATTACATCTCATTTCATTTCATCTCATTTCATCTCATTTCATCTCATCTCATCCCATTTCATCTCATCATTTCATCTCATTTCATCTCATCATTTCATCTCATCTCATTTCAATTTCATTACATTTCATAATTTCCTTTCATTATTTCATTTCATCTCATTTCATTATTTCATCTCATTTCATCTCATTTTTCATCTCATTTTTCATCTCATTTCATCTCATCATTTCATCTCATCATTTCATCTTATCATCTCATCTCATTTCATCATTTCATCTTATTGTTCATCTCATTTCATCTCATCATTTTATCTCATTATATCATCTCATCTCATCTCATTTCAATTTCATTATTTCATATCATTTCATTTCATTATTTCATTTCATTTTATCTCATCATTTCTTCTCATCATTTCATCTCGTTTCATCTCATCATTTCATCCATCATCTCATTTCATCTCATCTCATCTCCTTTCAATTTCTTTTCAGTTTTGTCATTTTGTCTCATCACTTCATCTCATCATTTATACTCACTATTTCATCTCAAAATTTCATCTCATCATTTCATCTCAACATTTCATCATTTCATTTCATCATTTCATCTCATCATTTCATCTCATCTCAAGTCATCTTATCATTTCATCTAAGTGAAATGATGTAATGGAATCATAAAATGAAATGGATAGGATGCCCTCAGTGATGTTAAATTTAAAAATTGTTTCTTTTCATGTATTCATTTTTATATTTATATGTATTTCTATTTATATTTACTTATATTTCTTTTTACTTTTTTTAATTATATTTTTACTTATTTATTTATAGACAACGTCCTGTTCTGTGGCCTAGGCTGGAATGCAGTGGTGCATTCACAGTTCACTGCAACCTCAAGCAAACCTCCCACCTTAGCCTCCCAGGTAGCTGGGACCCCAGGTGTGCACCACCACACCTGGTTAATATTTTATTACTTGTAGAGATGGAGACTTGCTATGCTGCCCAGGCTGGTCTCAAACTCCTGGACTCAAGCAATCCTCTTGCCTTGGCAACCCAAAATGCTGGGATTACAGATATGAGCCACAGTGCCCAACCTATTTATTTATTTATTTATTTAATAAAGAAAAGGTCTCACTATGTTGCCCAGGCTGGTCAACTCCTGGACTCAAATGATTCTTCAAACTTGGCCTCTCAAAATGTTGGGATTACAGGTATGAGCCACCATGCCTGGCCTAAAAATAGTATTATATTTTTGCATTATATAATTTTCAATTAGGTAATATGAATATTCTGTACAGGAAATATGCCCTTAATTACACAGGAATAAACATTTGTTATACTGAGAAAAATCTATTAGAGCTAAAAATAAAAATTAATTTGGAGAGGTCATTAGACACTCATATATTCTTACGTTTATACATTCTTTCATATATTCATATATTCTTTTAACAGTATCAATGGTTTGGAGTTATGTGTACAAAACCATGACCTATATGTAATACAACTAATAACAAGCACTTACAATTCAAGGCATATTATATACAAAGCTTTAACTTCTCATCATCATATTTTGTTTTTTTTTCTTTCTGTTTTGGCAGATACTATGAACACAACATTCAACTCACAGACACTATGGAGCCCTTACTAAGCATAAAGTACTGTGAAAGGTCAGGGCTAGGACAGAACTGAGACAGGGCCAGGGATAGGACAGAACTGGGGCAGGGTCATGGCCAGAGAAAAACCAGGGGCAGGGTCACGGCCAGGGACATGAGAGGACCAAGGCCAGGGCCAGAAGTAGGGCAGAACCAGGGCCAGGGCAGGAACATGGCAGGGCCAGGGCCATGGCAGGATCAGGGTCAGCAGAAGGCCAGGGCAGGGTTAAGGTAGCACAGGGCCAAGACAGGGCAGGGTCAGTGTAGAGCAAGGAACGGGCCAGGGTATGGCAAGGCAGGGACAGGGAGGTCCAGGGCCAGAGTCAGTTCCAGGATATGGACAGGGCAGGGCCAGAAACATGGCAGGACCAGAAAGGGGACAGGGCAAGGGCAAGGCCAGAAAAGGACCATGGTAAAAACATGGCCAGGGAGGGTCCAGGGCAAGGGCAAGGCCAGGGCAGAACCAGAGCCAGGGCAGGCCAAAGGCAGGGCCAGGGCAGGGCAATGCCAGGGTGGGGCATGGCCAGTGTAGGGTGAGGGTAGGGCCAGGGCAAGTTCTGGGCCAGGGCAGGACTAAGATAGCACAGGGCCAAGGCCAAGGACCTGTACTAAGATAGCACAGGGCCAGGGCAGGGCCAAAGGAGGGCCAGGGCCAAGCATGCCCAGTGTGGGGCCTGGGGATTGTCAGGGCCAGGGCCAGGGTCAAGGCTGAGCCAGGGACAGGGCCAGAGCAAGGGCAGGGCCAGGGAGAAGGCAGAACCAGAGAGGATCCAGAGAAACAGCAGGGCCAGGGCAGAACCAGGACCAGGATAAGGCAAAGCCAAGGCCAGGGCAGGGCAAGACCAGGGAAGGGCAAGGCCAGGGTAGAAAAGACCAGTGTACAGCCAGGCCAGGGTAGGAAAAGGCCATGGTAGGGCCAAGGCCAAGGCGGGGCAGGGCTAGGGTAGCACAGGGCATGGCCAAAAACAGGGCAGGGCCATAGCAGTGGCAGGACTAGGAACAGGGCCAGGGCAAGCGCTGGACCAGAGCATGGTGGGGACAATACAGGGCCAGGACAGATGACGGGATGGCAGGTCCAAGGTCGTTTCATGGACTCGATAGACCTGGGGTCAGGCCAGGGCAGGGAAAGTGCAAGGCCAAGGAGAAGGCAGGGTCGGGGCCAAGGCACTGCCAGGGCAGGGCAGGACCAGTGCAGGGTGAGGGCAAGGCCAGGGCATGGAAGGGCAGGGCAGGACCAAGGAAGGGCCAGGAGAGTACCATGGCAGAGTCAAGGCCAGAACAAGGGTATGGCTGGGGTCAGGAATAAGGTAGGGCAAGGGCTGGGCTCAGGCTGGGACATGAAGGGCAGAGCATGGCCTGTGCAAGGCAGGGCCAGAGCCAGGCCATAGAGATGGGAGGGCAACACCAAGGCAGAGTCAGGGTAGATCCAAGGCTGAGCAGAGTCAGGGTGGGTCCAGAGTCGAGGCAGAGCTAGGGCACAAGCAGGGCCATGGCAGCACCAGGGCAGAGGAGGGCAGGGCAATGCAGGACTGGGCCATGGCAGTGCCTGGTCAACTGCAGGGCAGGGTCAGAAGCAGGACAGGGCCAGGGCCAATGCTCAAGCCAGGGACAGGTCATGACAGGAAGTGCCAGAGCAGGGCTGGGCCAATGTAGGGGCAGGGCAAATCAGACCAGGACACCTCCAAGTCCAGCTCTGGCCCTCCCTTGGCCCTGGCCCCTTCCTGACCTGACCTTGTCCCTGGCCCTGCCCTATCCATGCCCTGTGTGTTTGACCAGTGTTTTATAACCAGAATCCTACAAGAAACTTAAATCAGCTCTTTTTGTGCATTTTTAGTAGAGATGAGGTTTCACAATGTTGCCCAGGCTGGTTCCAAACTCCTGAGCTCAAGCCATCTGCCTGCCTTGGCCTCCCAAAGTGCTGGGATTACAGGAGTAATCTGGCCAAGTATTTAACTTCTTTATGCCTGTTTCCTACATTTGGAAAATGGGGATGCTTTAAGTACCTAGCACATAGAATTATTGTGAGAATCAATGCCACACATATTAACATATTGATAAAATTATACTCATAGAACAGTACTGGAAGCAGAGATAGTATTAGTTAAAATTTAGTGATTATTTACTGTAAATATTATTACTATTACAAACAACATAGTATAGACATTATTACCACTACTATAGTTATCTTAAAAATCTAAAATAAAAATTTTATGTAATAGCCTAATGTAATCTCTCCTGCTCTGTCCCGTCTCAGCCCTAGTGCCGGCTCCGCCCCTAGTCCTACCACATCCCTGGCCCTGACCCTTCCCTGGTCCTGCCACTGCCCTGGCCCTTCCCATCTTCAGGCCTTACCATGGCCCTACCCTGGTCCTGACCCTGGCCCTACCCCAGAGAAGGGGTATGGCAGAGCCAGGGAAGGGCCGGGGCAAATAAAGGACGGGACACATCCAAATCCAGGAAAGGGCCAGGGCCATGACAGAGCCAGGGCAAGTCCTTGGCAGGGCCAGGTTCCAGGCCAGGGCCAGGAAGGGGTCATGGCATGGTCACTGTATGGCCAAGGTCCAGGCCAAAGCCAAGGCAGGGGCAGGGTCAGGCCTGCATAAGGGCAGGACCAGAGCCAGTGATACAGCAGGGCCAGGTCCAGGGCCAGGACTGTGCCAGGACAGAACAAGAGCAGAGCAGGGCAGGACCAGAGTCAGGCCATAGAGAGAGTAGGGCAAATGCCAAGGCAAGGCCAGGGTAGTGCCAGGGCTGAGGCAAGGTCAGGGAAGGTCCAGGGCTGAGTCAAGGCTGGAACAAAGACAGGGGTAAAGGCCGGGGCAGATCTAGGGCACAAGCAGGGCAGGCTAGGGCAGGGCAATGGCAAGACCAGGCCATGGCAGGGCCAGCCCAGGATAGAACAGGGCACAGGCAGGGCAGCGCCAGGGCCACGGCTGGGGCAGGACAAGGACCAGGACCGGGGTCCAGGCCAGGGCAAGGGTATGGGCAGGGCAGAGGTAGGGCCAGAACCGGGGTCTGGGCAGGACCAAGCAGTGTCCATTGCAGGGCCAGGGTTCAGACCAGGGCCAGAGCAGGGCTGGGACAAGGCCAGGGCCAGGAACAGGAAAGGGCAATATCAGGATAAGAACCATGGCAGGACCAGCAACGGGGCTAGGGCCAGGACAGGGACAGGGACAGGGACAGGGACAGGGTCAGGGCTAGGGCAAGAATAGCATGCCAGGGTAGAACCAGGCCAAATTAGGGCCAGGACAGGGTCAGGACCAGGGCTGGGCCAGGATATAGCCTTAAGTAGTGAAGGGCCAGGGCCAGGGTCCATGCCAGTGCCAGCGCCGGTCCAGGGCAGGGGCAGGGCCATGGCCAGGTCAAGGACAAGTCTGGGGCAGGGCCAAGGTCCAGGTCAGGGTAAGCACAAGACCAGGACAGAGCCAGGGGAGGGACAGGGCCATGGTAGGGCCAGGTTAAATCAGGGACAAGACACCTGCAAATCCACTTCAGGGCCAGGGTCAGGGCAGGGCCAGTTCAGGGCCAGGGCCAAGACAAGGCCAGGGCCAGGGCTCTCAGGGTCATTGGCAGGGCCAGGGCCATGGCAGGACCAGGGTCAGAAGCAGGGGTCAATGTCAGGCCAAGGCCACAGACAGGACCAGGTCTGTGCTAGGGCCAGTGTGAGGGCCAAGGTGGGGTCAGGGCAGGGCTAAAGGGAGGGCAGGGTGGAACAGGCCCAGGGTAGCACAGGGTTAAGGTAGGGCACGACCAACCAGGGCAGGTCTATGGCTGGGGCCGGGGCAGGGCAAGGGCCGGGGCAGGGCCAGAGCCAGGGCAGGGCAAAGAGTGGCAGCTCCAGGGCAGGGCCAGGGTTAGGACCATGGACATGTCCAAGGCCAGTGCCAGGGCAAGGACAAGGGCAGGGGCAGGGCCAGTGTCATCTAAGAACCAGGGACAAAGCCAGGCCCAGAGCAGGGACAGGACAGGTACCTGGCAGGGCTAGGGTCTGGGACAGGGCCATGGCAGGGCCAGGGCCACAACCAGGTCTGTGCTATGGCCAGGTCCAACACAGTGCCCAGGTAAGGCTAGGGTGAAGGCCAAGGTAGGGCCAGGGCAGGGTCAAAGCCAGGCTAGGGCCAAGGCAGGACCAGGGCCGGCAAGGCAGGGCCAGGAAAGCATAGGGCCAAGGCAGGGCAGGGCCAGGCCAGTGCCAAGACCTGGGCAGGGCCAGGGAACAGCCAGGGCAGGGCCAGGGCCAGGGCCTGGGCAGTACCAGGTTTGGGGCAGGAGCAAAACAAGGGCAAGAACAGTGCAGGATCTTGGCACAGCCAGGGTCCAGGACAGTGTCAGGGCAAGGCCAAGGAAGGGTCAGGGCGATGGTAAGACCAGCAACAGGGCTGGGGCTAAGCCAGTGACAGGACCAGAGTCAGGGCAAGGGCCAGAGCAGTGCAAGGCCAGGGTAGGGCCAGGCATTTCAGAGTCAGGGCCAGGGGAGAACCAGGGCAAGATCTCAAGCAGGGAAGGGCCAGGGCCAGGACAGGTCCAGGGCAGGGCCATGACAGGGCCAGGGGCTGTGTTAGGGCAAGGGCAGGGCCAGAGCAAGGTAAGGGTCAGGGCCAAGGCCAGGGTAGGGACAGGGCAAGAAATATGGCATGACCAGGGGCAAAGCCAAGGCCAAGGTTGGGCCAGGGCTGAGCCAGGGCTGAGTCAAGGCAGGGCAGGGCAGGGCACGGTATGGCCAGTGCAGGACAGGACAAAAGTCGGTCCACAGAGAGAGCAGGGCTGATGCCAAGAAAGAGCCAGGCTAGTGCCAAGGCTGAGGCAGTGTCAGAGCATGTCCGGGGCAGGGCCAGGGCCAGGGCCAGAACCGAGCCAGGGCACAGCCAAGGCAGGGTAAGGCAGGGAAATAGCATGGCCGTGTCAGTACTGGGACAGGGCAGAGCAGGGCAAGGCGATGGTAGGGGCAGGGCAGGGACAGGCCAATGCAGAGCCATGTTACGCTGGGGCCAGGACACCTCCAAGTCCACTTCAGGGCCAGGGCTATGGCAGGACAAAGACCAGGTCCAGGGTCTGGGCCAGGTCTGTGCTAGGGCCAGCTCCAGAGCAGGGCCTAGCGAAGACTAGGGTGAGGGCCAAGGTAAGGCCAGGGCAGGATCAAAGGCAGAGTAGGGCCAGGGCAGGGTGATGACACATCCAGAGCACAGTAGGGCAGGTTAATGGCAAGACCAGGGGCAGACCACTGCCAGCTCAGGGCCAAGGAAAGGCCAGTGCAGAGCCAGGAAAGGGTCAGGGCCAGGTAAAAGGCAGAGCAGGGCTAGGGCCATGGCAGAGTCAGGTCAGGTCCTTGACAGGACCAGGTTCCAGGCCAGGGCCAGGGCAGCAGCAGGGGCAGGGCCTGGATAAGGGCAGGGCCAGGGATATGGCAGGACCAGGGCTAGGGCCAGGGCCAGGCCATAGTGAGGGCAGGGCAAAATTCGAGGCAGGGTCTGGGCAGGTCCAGGGAGCGGCCAGCACCAAGCGGGGCAAGGCACAACCAGCACAGTGTAAGGCAGGGCAGTGGCACCACTGGGCCATGACAGGGCAAGGTCAGTGCCAGGAGAGGGCAGAACAGGCAGGCCCATGGTGGGGCCAGGGAAGGGATGGGCCAAAGCAGGACCAGGACATGTCCAAGGCCAGGTCAGGGACAGAACAGGACTAGGACCATGACCACTGGCAGGGCCAGTGCCATGACATGACCAGGGTCAGGACAAGAGGCAGGGTCAGAGCCAGGGCCAGAGCCAAGATCAGGCCAGTGCAGGTTCATGGCAGGGCCAGTGCCAGGGCAACACCAGGGCAGGGACAGGGTAGCACAGGGCAGCACAGGGCCAAGACAGGGTCAGGATGGGACCAGAGCAGGATAGGGCCGAGACAGTCCAGGTAACAGTAGGGCAGGTACAGGGCAAGGCAGGGCAAAGCCAGGCCCATTGCCAATGCACCAGCCCTCCCTACAAGGCTCCTACCACCTGGCCACTGCTGCAGCCCGTCCATCGCTCTAAACCTGACCCCCAACCCTGGCTGCAGCCGCCTGCCCTCCTAGCGTGGCCGCTCTCCTACCTCTCTGGCACACTGCAGTCTCCGTCGCTGCCACCCACCCGCAGTGAGGCGAGTCATGGTGTCGCAGGCTCTAGGTGTCTCCTCCTCCTCCTGGCATGGAGTAGCTGGGCGGGCAAAGCCAGAAAAGCCTAGAGGAAGAGCGGTGGAAGGGTTAGAGCCTCAACTTGTCATGCTGGCCACTGGGTGGCAGGGGCCAGTTTCAGCAAAGGAACTCACACCCACCCTCCAAAGTCCAGCCTCTCCTTTTGGCCCAAGCTGGCCGGGAACTGGTGTCTGGGGTGGGTGCTGGAGACACCACAGCACCCAGCTCCCCACTCCACAGGAACCATTGGGCCCACCAGGGCTGCACTCCTCAGGGAACAGGAGAAGCAGAAAAATTCAGACCCAGCCAGCCCTCCGCACCCAGGTGCCAATTCCTGTTCCGGACGCCTCCACACACAAGGCCCTGTTCCCCGTGGTGTCCCCAGGGGTGCCTGGCAGCCTCTGAGGCACAGACCCAGAGTGCACAGGCCCAGGAACCACGGTGGGTGTGGGGGCTCTGCCATGCTCAAGATTCCCACGCAAACGCTGTGTGCCTGCCGCACTCAAGTATGACCAAAAGTGGGTCACCCTCTGGAGTGTGGAGTCAGGGAGAAGAGAACCACTCCTTCCTTGGATGCCAACTCTGCTGACCGCCGCCAGCAGTGCAGCCCCTGATAGCACCGAACTCCCCCGCCCTCCACAGCTAGTCCTGCCCTCAATAGCGCCCCCCACCTCCGTCCCCCAATGCCGCCAGTAGCGTATACCCGATAGTTCCCTAACCTGTCCTCCTCCATGGGCATTGCAGCCCCAGAAAATGCCCATAACCCACCCTCCCTGCCGTGGGCAGTGCAACCCTGTACAGTGCTACCAACCAGTACCCCTAATGCAGGCAATGACACCCTGGATAGCGCCCCCAACCCACCCCACACTGCGAAAGGTGCAGCCCTGTATAGCCCCTGTGCTACCACTCTGGTCATGCTGCAGTCTCTGTCACCACCACCACCAACCACAGTGAGGCAAGCCAGTGGGCCACAGGCTCTAGCACCCAGCAGCCAGGCACGTAGCAGCTCTTGCCAATGGCCGGCTCCTACTTGACCATGCTGCTATCTCCGTGGCCATCTTCTTTGACTACAAAGGAATAAAACTAGATATCAATAAGAAGAGTAATTTTGGAAACAATACAATCACATGGAAGTTAAACACTACCCTCCTGAATAAATGACTAGCGGGTCAATGAACATACTAAGACAGAAATTCAAAAATTTCATGAAACAAAGGGTAACGAAAACACAGTATACCAAAACTTGTTATGCAGAAAGCAGTACAAAGGCAGAGATTTACAGCTATAAGTGCCTACTATCCAAACAAAAGAAAAACTTCAAATAAACAATACATCTTAAAGAACTAGTAAAGTAAGAACAAACTAAACCGAAAATAAGAAAATAAATAAGATCGTAGCAGAAATAAAATTGAAAGAAAAAACACACAAGATTAAACGAAAAGTTGGTTTTCTGGAAAGCAAAACAAAATTGACAAACTTTTAACCAGGCTAACTAAGAAAAGAGAGACAAGATTCAAATAAATAAAATCAACAGATAAAAAAAGGAGACATTACAACTAATACTTCAGAAATTCAAAGGATCATAACTGGTTATTATATGCCAATAAATTGGAAAGCCTAGTAGAAATTGGCAAATTCCTAGATGCATACAACCTACTTAGGTTGAACAATGAAAACATCCAAGACCAGAACAGATTGGTAACAAGTAATGAGATTGAAGCCATCAGGAAAAGTCTCCCAGTAAAGAAAAGCCCAGGAACTGATGTCTTCACTGCTGATGGCTTCACACCAAACAATTTAAAGACCTAGTACGAATCCTACTCAAACTATTTTGAAAAACAGGAGGGAATACTTCCAAACTTATTCTATGAGACCATTATTACTGTGATACCAAAATCAGACAAAGACATCAAAGAAGGAAACTACAGGCCAGTATCTCTAATATTGATGCAAAAATCCTCAACAAAATACCAGTGAATCAAATTCAGTAATACATTAAAAAGATAATTCATCATGATCAAGTGGGATGTATCCCTGGGATGCAAGGGTCAATCAACATACAATGTGATACATCATATCAACCAAATAAACGACAAAAACAGTATGATCATGTCAACTGAAACTGAAAAAGCATTTGATGAAATTCAACATCCCTTCATGCTATAAATCCTCAAAGAAACGGGTACAGAAGAAACATATTGCAACATAATAAAAACTACAGGAAAGACATCCACAGCTAGAATCATATAGAGTGAGGTCCAGGCTGCAGTGAGCTGTGATCCCACCACTGCACTCCAGCCTGGGCAACAGAGTGAAACCCTGTCTCAAAAAAAAAATATGTAAAAAGAGGTATGAGCCTCTTTTATAGGTGCAGTTACTCACATCTGTAATCCCAACACTTTCTGGGAGGCTGAGGTGAGAGGATCTCTTGAAGCCAGGAGTTCAAGATCAGCCTGGGCAACATAGCGAGACCCTTTATCTACAAAAAATTTTTAAATATTTGCCAGGTGTGGTGGCACGTGCCTGTAGTCTTAAACAATTATCATGTGACCCAGATAGTGTATTCCTTAGGGATATACCCAAGGGAAATGAAAATATACATCCACACTAAAATTTGTACACAAATGTTCACAGCAGCATTGTGCATAATAGCCAAAAATTGGAAAAAAAGCTCAAGTGCCTATCAGCAGAGGAACTGATAAAATATGGTATATCCATTCAAAAGATTACTCAGCATTAAAAAAGAATGAAGTGCTGATATACGCTACAGCATGGATAAACCTTGAAAACACTGTGCCAAGTGAAATAAGTCAATCACAAAGACCATATGTAGTAAGATTTCATTCTGTGAAACCTCCAGAAGAGCTAAACTCAGAGACAGAAAGTAGGCTAGTTATTGCCAGGGACTAGGGGAAAAGGGAATAAGGATGACTGCTAATGGGTATGGGATTTCTTGTGGACTGATGAAAATGGTCTGAAAGTATCTAGATACCTGTCTTGTTTGTGCGATTCTGTGAACATATTATAAACCACAAAATTCTGCACTCGAGGGGTAGATTTCATGGTAGGTGAATTTATCTCATTTATCTTTATCTCAATAAAGCTTTTTAAAGACACTTTAAAAAGACATATCTGTATAAGCTACAAAAATAACACACTGAGAGACTAAAATGCTTAATTTTTCCATTTTTCTTCTTCAGCACAATCTCAAGTCCAAAAGTCTTTCCTTCCTATATATGCATATTTTGTCCAGTGAAACCAGAAACTCTATTAACTTTTTTATTAGAAATAAAAAAAAAGCCAGGTGTGCTGGCTCACAGCTGTGCTTCCAGCTACTCAGAAGGCCGAGGCAGAAGGATCACTTGAGGCCAAGACTGGGAGTTCAAGACCAGCTGAGGCAACATAGCTAGATCCTGTCTTTAAAAATATTTTTTAGGCCAGGCACGGTGGCTCACGCCTGTAATCCCAGCACTTTGGGAGGCCAAGGAGGGCAGATCATTTGAGATTAGGAGTTCAAAACCAGCCTGGACAACATGGTGAAACCCCATCTCTACTAAAAATATAAAAATTAGCCAGGTGTGGTGGTGGGCACCTGTAGTCCCAGCTACTTGGGAGGCTAAGGCAGGAGAATTGCTTGAGCTGGGAGGGTGGAGGCTGCAGTGAGGCCAAAATCATGCCATTGCACTCCAGCCTGGGTGACAGAGCAAGACTCCATCTAGGAAAAACAAAAATATATATATATGTGTATATATATATATATATTTTAAGTTAAAACCCTACTGAAATGAAACTAATAAAATAAAATTCAACTTAAATAAAAAAAGTTCCTGAAATATTAATTTTCAAGCAATTCTATTTTAGCTTTGACTCTGAACAAAATATAAACCTCAATTTCAAAGTATCACAAAGATTGGCTGGGGGCAGTGGCTCATGCCTGTAATTCCAGCACTTTGGGAGGACAAGGCAGGTGGATCACTAGAGGCCAGGAGTTCCAGAGCAGCCTGGCCAACATAGGGAAACCCAGTCTCTACTAAAAAAATACAACAAAAATTAGCCGGGTCTAGTAACCCCAGCTACTCAGGAGGCTGAGGCATTAGAATCGCTGGAATCTGGGAGGTGGAGGTTGTAGTGAGTGGAGATCATGCCACAGCACTCCAACCTGGGCGACAGACTGAGACTCTGTCTCAAAAAAGTAAAAATAAGGCCAGGTGCTGTGGCTCACGCCTGTAATCCCAGCACTTTGGGAGGCGAAGGTGGGCAGATCACTTGAGGTCAAGGAGTTTGGGACCAGCCTGGGCAACACAGTGAAACCTCCTCTCTACTAAAAATACATAAATTAGCTGGGCGTGGTGGCACACACTTGTAATGCCAGCTACACCAGAGGCTGAGGCAGGGCAATCGCTTGAATTCGGGAGGTGGAGGTTGTAGTGACCTGAGATTGTGCTACTGCACTCCAGCCTGGATGACAGAGTGAGACTCCATCTCAAAAAAAAAAAGAAAAAAAAAAGAAAACTTATATTTAAAGTTTAAAAAAATCACAAAGACAACAAATACTCAGGTTTAAGCAAATTCCCACTTTTCTTGAATTAACAGTAATTCATATTTGCTTTGTCAAAAATGTAGATATTTACATGCCCCAACGGAATGAAATCCTAAAAGCCTAGTGTTCGCAAATGATGAAGAGAAAGAAACATGCATATTTTAATTTAGAATTTTGATTCAGAATTAATTTTAACCTAGCTGGAGTATACATAATCATTTATGTATTTATTTACTTATTTAAGAGACTGGGTTTCGCTGTGTTATCCAGGCTGGAATGCAGTGGCACAACCTTGGCTCACTGCAACTTGTACTTCCTCAGCTCAAGCAATCCTCCCACCTCAGCCTCCAGAGTAGCTGGGACTGCAAATGCACGCTACCACACTCAGCTAATTTTTGCGGAGACGAGCCTCGCTATGTTTCCCACATTGGCCTCTAACTCCTTGGCTCACTACAGCCTCAAGCCCCTGGGCTCAAGCAATCTGCCTCCCAAAGTGCTGAGATTACAGGAGTGAGCCACCGCAACCAGCCTAGTGGATAGTGTATACTAAGCAACATATACCCTGCTTTTGCCTAGAACATACTGAAAACATGGCATTAAAAACAATCACGAAAGTTGGGAGCTGAGAAAAATCATATACTGTAAAACAAATCTGACAGATATTAATCTCAAGAAACTCCTGAAAATGTCTCAAGAACTCCTATGCTGCACTATCCCTAATAATTTAGATTTTCTACAGATATTTTCTGATCATCTACCATGTGCCAGGCACCATGCCAGGTACCAAGATGCCATGGTGAGGTATACACAAAACTGGCTCCTGCTTGCAGGAAGCCTACTCTCTAAAACAGTGCTTGCCAAGCTCGACTGATCACAACTTGGGAGCTTAAGTTCCAAATCGGCTTCCCTGCTTTGGTGAGCCACAATCCGTGGCATTTTTATCAGGCGCTCCCAATGATTCCTACACTCTAACGGGTTTGGGAGGCAAGGGTGGGGGTAAGCTGGAGAGCCCAGAGCCATCCCGTCCAGCGGGAGCCCCACCTCTAAAGTCCATGTCGCTCAGCATCCTTCCCCCTGACTAGTGGCCCAAACACAGCACGAAGCTGAGGTGGGTAGAACGCTTTCCAAAATGGCACTCTGTGATGAGCCACCGACAGACTTGCTCGCCTCCAGGGACGAAGAGCTCACTCCTCACAAACCCCACCTGGGAAAGGTAGCACCTGAGCCTCCTGGGCTGCGCCGACACTTGTCTCCCCGCGGGTGCCGCCTACTGCTCTGGTGGACTCCAGTCCCCAGATTCCGCCCCACAGGGACTGGGGGGAGGGGGGAGGCGCCGCGCGCATTAGGCCCCGACTGTATACCGACCCCCCCTCCGGTGTGCTCAGGCCAACACCCATACACACCCTCACACACCCACACACACCCACACACACTCCCATGGAAACTGAGGCAGACAGGCGGTAGACCAGGTCCAGCCGCCTGACAGCTCGCGGCTGGGATCGAACCCGGACTGCAAGACGCCTTCCGCCTCACAGGCGCTCCTCAGCCGCTGAGGCCTGGCCTGGCTGCCACCGCCGGAGTTTCACAAAGAAAGTCTCCCGGCCCGAGCCCCTCACGCACTCACCGGCGCTGACGCCGGCTGCGACTCGGGCTCCCGCCGCCTTCAGCTCCTTGCGGGGGTCGGCCCTTGGGTCGGCTCGGGCGCCGGCGGCGACGACTGCTCCATATCCACGGGGTCCTGGCCGCGTCGGCCTCGAGCTAACGGTCCCGCCAGGTAGGCGCGCGCGCCAGTTCCGCGCGCCATGTTCCCGCCCTGCTGCGCGCCCCCGCGGCGACCCTCACTGCCCCCCAACCGCGCTCGACCCCCCTCCCCGCGCGCCCTGCCTCGCGCCCTCTGGAGCTGGCCGCTGTTCCCAGTGTCTCACCCACCCACGCCGGGCCTGTCCGACTTGGCGGGTGAGCGCGTGGTTCCCGGTTCCGCACCGCCGCCTGCCTCTCTGCAGACCACCCCAGACCTGACCCCTCGGCCACTTTCCCACACTGCCCCTTTCGCTTCCCCTACGACGCGGGGCCTAGGACGAGGGTCTGGGCCAAGAGGAACTTCCCCGCAAGAAGTGCCAAGCTAAGGACGCTACTAAGGGGGCGGGATCACCACAGTGGAGGTGTGCAAGCACGTGCCTGTGTCCCGGAGACAGCCAGACTCAACGGAGAAGATGAGTTCAACTCCCACATCTCCACTATCCCTTGCGTGTTAGGGTCAGGGCTTCGGGACTTGTTTCTCCTAAATCTTTTTCTTTTTTTTTTTTGAGACAGTCTCGCTCTGTCACCCAGGCTGGAGTGCTGTGGCCCGATCTTGGCTCACTGCAAGCTCCGCCTCCCGGGTTCATGCCATTCTCCTGCCTCAGCCTCCTGAGCAGCTGAGACTACAGGCGCCTGCCACCGCCTGCTAATTTTTGTATTTTTAGTAGAGGTGGGGTTTCACCGTGTTAGCCAGGATGGTCTCCATCTCCTGACCTCGTGATCCTCCTGCCTCGGCCTCCCAAAGTGCTGAGATTACAGGCGTGAGCCAGCGCGCTCGGCCTGTTTCTCCTAAATCTAAAGACTCAATATGATAATCAAGAGAACGCCTCAGTACCGCACCTAGCACTTAGTAGGTAGTGATCAAGAGAGAAGACCTCTTAAGTGGTTTTAATGGTTAAGGACCACAGGTTCTCAAGAAAGGGAAATCTCAATTCAAGTCCCGCCTCCATCTCTTGGAAACTGAGAAACCTTGAACAAGTCACTCAGAGGAGCCAAAGATCCTTGATTTCTACATGTGCAAAAGGGGAGTGTGGCAGTAGCACTGCACAGGGTTGACTGAGCTTTCAGGGAGATGATGACTGTACGATCATGCCTCTCTTAATCACAGGATGGTTCTGAGAAATACCTCCTTAGGTGATTGCAGCATTGTGCAAACAGCAAAGTGCATTTACACAAACCTTGTATAGCCTTGTATAGCCTACAAAACACCTAGGCTGTATGGCATAGCCTATTGCTCCTAGGCTACACACCTGTACAGCCTGATACTTTACTGAATATAGCATAAGCAGTTGTAACACAATGTAAGTACTTGTGTACCTGAACATAAAGAAGGTACAGTAAGAATAGAGTATAAGAGATTTTAAAATGGTACTCCTGTATAGGGCACTTACCATGAAAGGAGCTTGCAGGACTGGAAGATGCTGTGGTGAGTCATTGAGTGTGAAGGCATAGGACCTTACTGTACACTACTGTAGACTTTATAAACATCATATGCTTAGGCTACACCAAAATTTTTTAAAGCTTTTCTTCAATAAATTAACCTTAGCTTACTGAAATGTATCTTAAAAAATTTTGCCAGTCGTGGTGTCTCACACCTGTAATCCCAGCACTTTGGGAGGCCGAGGCAGGCAGATCGTTTGAGGTCAGGAGTTCGAGACCATCCTGGCCAACAGGGTGAAACCCTCATCTCTACTAAAAATACAAAACTTAGTCAGGCATAGTGGTGTGCACCTGTAATCCCAGCTACTCAGGAGACTGACGGAGGAGAATCGCTTGAACCCAGGAGGTGGAGGTTGCAGTGAGCCGAGATCATGCCACTGCACTCCAGCCTGGGCTATTACACGCATGGAGCTGTCATATCCTGTGATAACAATGCCTTCTTCTTCCAGAACACTTCCTGAAGGACCTGCCTGAGGCTGTTTTATAGTTAACTATTTTTTAATGTAAGTAGAAGACATACATTCTAAAATTATGAAAAACACTAAATACACCAGGGCTGGGCACAGTGTCTCATGTGGGTAATCCCAGCACTTCGGGAGGCTGAGGAGGGCAGATCATTTGAGGTCAGGAGTTTGAGACCAGCCTGGGCAGTGTGGTGAAACCCCAACTCTGCTAAAAATACAAAGATTAGCTGGCCATGGTGTTGGGTGCCTGTATTCCCTGCTACTCAGGAGGCTGAGGCAGAAGAATTGCTTCAACCTGTGAGGCAGAAGTTGCAGTGAGCCAAGATTGCGCCACTGCACTCCAGCCTGTGTGACAGAGCAAGACTCTGTCTCAAAAAAATAAACCAGTAACATAGTTGTTCATTATCAAGTATTATATATTGTATGTAATTGTACATGCTAGGCTTTTATAGAACTGGCAGCACAGATTTGTTTACACCAGCATCACCAGAAACACAGAAATGCATTACCCTAACATTACAATGGCTATGTCACTAAGCAATAGGAATTTTTCAGCTCCATAATCGTCTTATGGTCAACTGACTTACATGTGGTTTGTCATTGACTAAAATGTCATTATACAAGACATGACTGCATATCCCAGGGCCCAATGCCTGGCACACACAAAGCTAAGTTTCACTGGTGTAATTCCCACCCTATCCATCCAAGACTCCTAAAAGTTTAATGAAAGGGCTCTGCTCCCAAAACCCTGTGGTATAAGTAGCTGGGAGGAGCTCGCCCAACTTGGGGCTGCAAGGACTCTTTCTTCCCGCATCTTTGCTTTCCTCTCTCTCCGCCAAACTTCTCTGAAAACCCTAAAGTTGGCAGAAAAATGGAGAATGTTTTCCCTACTAAAAAAAAGAATCTTCAAGGTCTCTTGGAATTTGTAAATGGGTGCATTTACTAGTCTGTTTTTTTAATGGTTTTTTAATTTAATTTTATTTTTTTATTATTATTATACTTTAAGTTTTAGGGTACATGTGCACATTGTGCAGGTTAGTTACATATGTATACATGTGCCATGCTGGTGCACTGCACCCACTAACTCATCATCTTACATTAGGTATATCTCCCAGTACTATCCCTCCCCCCTCCCCCAACCCCACAACAGTCCCCAGAGTGTGATATTCCCCTTCCTGTGTCCATGTGATCTCATTGTTCAATTCCCACCTATGAGTGAAAATATGCGGTGTTTGGTTTTTTATTCTTGCGATAGTTTACTGAGAATGATGATTTCCAATTTCATCTATGTCCCTACAAAGGACGTGAACTCATCATTTTTTATGGATGCATAGTATTCCATGGTGTATATGTGCCACATTTTCTTAATCCAGTCTATCATTGTTGGACATTTGGGTTGGTTCCAAGTCTTTGCTATTGTGAATAATGCCGCAATAAACATACGTGTGCGTGTGTCTTTATAGCAGCATGATTTATAGTCATTTGGGTATATACCCAGTAATGGGATGGCTGGGTCAAATGGTATTTCTAGTTCTAGATCCCTGAGGAATCGCCACACTGACTTCCACAATGGTTGAACTAGTTTACAGTCCCACCAACAGTGTAAAAGTGTTCCTATTTCTCCACATCCTCTCCAGCACCTGTTGTTTCCTGACTTTTTAATGATTGCCATTCTAACTGGTGTGAGATGGTATCTCATTGTGGTTTTGATTTGCATTTCTCTGATGGCCAGTGATGATGAACATTTTTTCATGTGTTTCTTTTGGCTGCATAAATGTCTTCTTTTGAGAAGTGTCTGTTCATGTCCTTCACCCACTTTTTGATGGGGTTGTTTGTTTTTTTCTTGTAAATTTGTTGGAGTTCATTGTAGATTGTGGTTATTAGCCCTTTGTCAGATGAGTAGGTTGAGAAAATTTTCTTCCATTTTGTAGGTTGCCTGTTCACTCTGATGGTAGTTTTCTTTTGCTGTGCAGAAGCTCTTTAGTTTAATTAGATCCCATTTGTCAATTTTGGCTTTTGTTGCCATTGCTTTTGGTGTTTTGGACATGAAGTCCTTGCCCATGCCTATGTCCTGAATGGTAATGCCTAGGTTTTCTTCTAGGGTTTTTATGGTTTTAGGTCTAACGTTTAAGTCTTTAATCCACCTTGAATTGATTTTTGTATAAGGTGTAAGGAAGGGATCCAGTTTCAGCTTTCTACATATGGCCAGCAAGTTTTCCCAGCACCATTTATTAAATAGGGAATCCTTTCCCCATTTCTTGTTTTTCTCAGGTTTGTCAAAGATCAGATAATTGTAGATATGTGGCGTTATTTCTGAGGGCTCTGTTCTGTTCCATTGATCTATATCTCTGTTTTGGTACCAGTACCATGCTGTTTTGGTTACTGTAGCCTTGTAGTATAGTTTGAAGTCAGGTAGTGTGATGCCTCCAGCTTTGTTCTTTTGGCTTAGGATTGACTTTGTGATGTGGGCTCTTTTTTGGTTCCATATGAACTTTAAAGTAGTTTTTTCCAATTCTGTGAAGAAAGTCATTGGTAGCTTGATGGGGATGGCATTGAATCTATAAATTACCTTGGGGAGTATGGCCATTTTCACGATATTGATTTTTCCTACCCATGAGCATGGAATGTTCTTCCATTTGTTTGTATCCTCTTTTATTTCCTTGAGCAGTGGATTGTAGTTCTCCTTGAAGAGGTCCTTCACATCCCTTGTAAGTTGGATTCCTAGGTATTTTATTCTCTTTGAAGCAATTGTGAATGGGAGTTCACTCATGATTTGGCTCTCTGTTTGTCTGTTGTTGGTGTATAAGAATGCTTGTGATTTTTGTACATTGATTTTGTATCCTGAGACTTTGCTGAAGTTGCTTATCAGCTTAAGGAGATTTTGGGCTGAGACGATTGGGTTTTCTAGATATACAATCATGTCATCTGTAAACAGGGACAATTTGACTTCTTCTTTTCCTAATTGAATACCCTTTATTTCCTTCTCCTGCCTAATTGCCCTGGCCAGAACTTCCAACACTATGTTGAATAGGAGTGGTGAGAGAGGGCATCCCTGTCTTGTGCCAGTTTTCAAAGGGAATGCTTCCAGTTTTTGCCCATTCAGTATGATATTGGCTGTGGGTTTGTCATAGATAGCTCTTACTATTTTGACATACGTCCCATCAATACCTAATTTATTGAGAGTTTTTAGCATGAAGCTTGTTGAATTTTGTCAAAGGCCTTTTCTGCATCTATTGAGATAATCATGTGGTTTTTGTCTTTGGTTCTGTTTATATGCTGGGTTACATTTATTGATTTGCGTATATTGAACCAGCCTTGCATCCCAGGGATGAAACCCACTTGATCATGGTGGATAAGCTTTTTGATGTGCTGCTGGATTCGGTTTGCCAGTATTTTATTGAGGATTTTTGCATCAATGTTCATCAAGGATATTGGTCTAAAATTCTCTTTTTTGGTTGTGTCTCTGCCCGGCTTTGGTATCAGAATGATGCTGGCCTCATAAAATGAGTTAGGGAGGATTCCCTCTTTTTCTATTGATTGGAATAATTTCAGAAGGAATGGTACCAGTTCCTCCTTGTACCTCTGGTAGAATTCGGCTGTGAATCCATCTGGTCCTGGACTCTTTTTGGTTGGTAAGCTATTGATTATTGCCACAATTTCAGATCCTGTTATTGGTCTATTCAGAGATTCAACTTCTCCCTGGTTTAGTCTTGGGAGAGTGTATGTGTCGAGGAATTTATCCATTTCTTCTATATTTTCTAGTTTATTTGTGTAGAGGTGTTTGTAGTATTCTCTGATGGTAGTTTGTATTTCTGTGGGATCGGTGGTGATATCCCCTTTATCACTTTTTATTGTGTCTATTTGATTCTTCTCTCTTTTTTTCTTTATTAGTCTTGCTACTGGTCTATCTATTTTGTTGATCCTTTGAAAAAACCAGCTCCTGGATTCATTAATTTTTTGAAGGGTTTTTTGTGTCTCTATTTCCTTCATTTCTGCTCTGATTTTAGTTATTTCTTGCCTTCTGCTAGCTTTTCAATGTGTTTGCTCTTTCTTTTCTAGTTCTTTTAATTGTGATGTTAGGGTGTCAATTTTGGATGTTTTTTTTCTTGAGTTGGAGTCTTGCTCTGTCACCAAGGCTGGAGTGCAGTGGCACAATCTCGGCTCACTGCAACCTCCACCTCCCAGATGCAAGCAATTCTCCTGTCTCAGCCTCCTGAGTAGCTGGGATTAAAGGCGTGCACCACCACGCCTGGCTAATTTTTTTGTATTTTTAGTAGAGACGGGATTTCACCATGTTGTTCAGGCTGATCTGAAACTCCTGACCTCGTGATCCACCTGCCTTGGCCTCCCAAAATACTGGGATTACAGGCATGAGCCACCGCACCCAGCCTTCTAGTTTGGTATTTTTCTTATTCAAGTAGCAAGGAAAAAAAAATAAGTCTACCAAGAGTAAAACAGAAAAAAGGAACAAAACTGATAGCATGACTGGAAAGGCCTGGGGTGGTACCTCACTTCAGGCATAGCTGGATACAGGCACTTATACAAGATAAGTCTCTCTAATCTCTCAGTGCTTGCTTCCCTTTGATCACTTCATTCTCACACAGTTCTTTCCACATAGTGGCCTGAGCAGCTCCTAACTCACATCTGCGCAAGAAAGCAGAGGCTGTTCCCCAATAGTTCCAGCCAAAGTCCCAGGACTGACTTTCACTGGACCCGTTTGGGCCACATGCCCCTGCCTGAGCCAATCACCACATCCAGCCTGGCCAGACCTGGCTTTCACGAAGCCCCTTCAGGAAGCGGTTGGGGTCATCCCCTCCAGAAGGACATGGGGAAAACCAGAAAGTGGCAGGAGGGATGCTTCCTTCTGAAAAATAGGGATGCAATTACCACAAGAGGTATCAGGTACAGGGCTGGCACAAACAAGAGCTATCCACGGCACCATCATGTAGGCGTGCAGCAGGTCCACCATGAAGCAACCTGGCTGCTCCGCAAAACGGAGTCACAGTTAATTCAGTCAATGAGAAATATCCCTCTATTTGGGTTCCCACCATTCACACCAGGCCTGGCACATCCCAAATTTGCTTGGTCAAAGGCAAGCAAATTACCCGCCTTTTATGCTGCACAAAAAGCTGAAAATATTATCTTACTTCTCTGGCTCAAGAACTTTCTATGACTCCCTCTGGCTACTTATGTGGCTCCCCCACCCTTAATGATAGAAGCCAACATTCATGAATCCCTAACCACATGCCAGTTACCTTATGGACCTGCCTCTTCCAAACAGCATAGAAGAGGTTGGTACTCTTACCGCACCCATATTATAAATATGGAAACAAAGGCTCTGCAATTTGAGGTAATTTACCCAGAGCCAAAGTTAGGAAGTGCAGAGTTCAGATTAGCACAATATTGTTCCCGCCATTGCCATCCCAGCTCCATTTGTTCATGTTTCAAAGTCCTACACCCATCTCTAGCTAGTGGCCAGTGGGAACAGCTCCACAGCAGAAGACAACTCTAGGAACCCCTTCAGCTTCTGCAGTGGTGGGGCTGGGGAGTAGGTGCAAATGATACTTAGCTTTACCATCCTCTCCCATAATTTTTTTTTTTGAGATGGATTCTCACTCTGTCACCCAGGCTGGAGTGCAGTGGTGCGATCTCAGCTCACTGCAACCTCTGCTTCCTGGGTTCAAGCAATTCTCATGCCACAGCCTCTGGAGTAGTTGGGATTACAGGTGCCCATCACCACACCTGGCTAATTTTTGTATTTTTAGTAAAGATGGGGTTTCACTATGTTGGCCAGGCTAGTCTCAAACTCCAGACCTCAAGTGATCCACCCGCCTCAGCCTCCCAATGTGCTGGGATTGCTAAGCCACCATGCCTGGCCTCATCTCCCATAACTTAATGGGATAGGGAAAAGAATTCCTCCAAGATAAAATTAAAGTGACGTTAGGAAAGGAAGTAGGTGTTTGGTAGCCTTCAACCAGCAGCTGATTTCTCCCATTGGTGAGTCAATTAGTTTTCTATGGCTGCTGTAACAAATTACCACGAACTGATTGGCTTACATCAACACAGACTTAATATCTTATTGTTCTATAGGTCAGAAGCCTCAAATCAGTTTCACTTGGCTAAAGTCAAGTTGTAAAGGACTGATTCCTTCAGGAGGTTCTGAAGGGAAAACCCGTTTTCTTGCCTTTTTCTGCTTTTAGTGGTTACCTATGTACCCTGAATTGTGGCCCTTTCCTCCATTTTTAAAGCACACCACTCCAATCTCTGCACAGTGCTATGGTTTGAATGTGTCCCCCAAAGTTCATGTGTTGGAAATTTAATCTCCAATGCAACAGTGTTGAGAGGTGGGACCTTTAAGAGGAGATTAGGTCATGAAAGATCTGCCCTCATTAATAGAGTATTGATGTTATCTCAGCAGAGGGTTAATTATCATGGGGATGGGTTGCTAATAAAAGGATTGAGTTCAGCCCCCTGTCTCTCTTGGTGTGATACCTTCCATCATGGGATGACACAGCAAGAAGACCCTCACCAGAAGCAGGCCCCTTGATCTTGACATTCCCAGCCTCCAGAACTGTAAGAAATAAACCTGTTCTTTATAAATTACCCAGTCTCAGATATTGCATAGCAATACAAAAAAGACTAAGACACTCAATCATCATCACATTGCCATCTCCCCTGACTGCTGAGTCCCTCTTAAAGGAGCACAGTAGGCTGGATGTGGTGGCTCATGCCTGTAATCCCAGCACTTTGGGAGGCCAAGGTGGGCAGATCATGAGGTCAGGAGTTCGAGACTAACCTGGCCAACATGGTGAAACCCCATCTCTACTGGAAAAACAAAAATTAGTTGGGCATGTTGGCGAGCGCCTGTAATCCAGCTACTCGGAAGGCTGAGGCAAGAGAATCGCTTGAAACTTGGGAGGTGGAGTTGCAGCGAGCCGAGATTGCGCCATTGCACTCCAGCCTGGGCACCAAGAGCTAAAAACTCCATCTCAGAAAAAAAAAAAAAGCACTGTGATGGGACACTGGGCCCACAGGCAACATAGGATAAGTTCCCATCTCAAGATGCTTAATCACATCTGCAAAGTCCCTTTTGTCATGGAAAGGAACACAGTCACAGATTCCAGGGATTAAGTTGAGGACACTTTGGAGGGGCCATTATTCAGCCTGCCATGGAAGATATCATGAGAAGGAGTTAATACAAAATGCTCTGGAAACAGAGAAGGGTTGCCGGGCATGGTAGCTCATGCCTCTAATCCCAGTACCTTGGGAGGGAGGCGGGGGGATTGCCTGAGGTCAGGGTTCAAGACCAGCCTGACCAACATGGTGAAACCCCATCTCTACTAAAAATACAAAAATTAGCTGGGCATGGTGGCAGGTGCCTGTAATCCCAGCTACTCGGGAGGCTGAGTCAGGAGAATCGCTTGAACCCAGGAGGTGGAGGTTGCAGTGAGCTGAGATTGCACCATTGCACTCCAGCCTGGGCGACAAGCATGAGACTTCATCTCGATTAAAAAAAAAAAAAAGAAAGAAAAAGAAACAGAGAAAAGCTGGCTAACTTTCCACAGTGGGAAAAATGTCCCAGGAAACCACAGCCTCCACGTTAAATATTCAAATGAGCTAAAACCTATCTAATTGGCAATCTCAGCCTTATTCCTTTAAACATGCAAACCACCTAAATTCCCAACAAACCCCCTACACCAGGCCAGCCAAGTCTCAGAATGCTTATATACCCTTTAATAGATATTTCCAACCACCATCCCCATTTCCTAAGGAAATGGCTGTGTGCCCTTGAGCCTGCCTTGACTGAATCGCCAGTGGCCTTTGAACAGTGGCACTCAATTCATGGCATGGCCAGCGAGCTACAAAGTGTCCTAGAATCAACCAAGCAAAGTTATAAAAGCAGATTCAGTGGACAATAAGGAACATTAGTTTTAGAGTCAAAAAGACCTGGGTTGGGTCCCAGCTCTGCCATTTACCAGCTGCACGACATCAGAAAATTTACCTTCATCCTCCAACTTTGGTTTCCTCACCTGTGACATGACAGTGGCTAGAGGACCTCATTCATAGAATCACTGTGAGGACAAGAGCAGCCAAGGGTAAGTCTTTGCACAGGGCCTCCCCAGTCATTATTGGGTCAACAAGACATAACCATGCCTTATCTCCACTTCCAAAACCCAAACAGCTCTCAAAAATGAGTCATTGTAGCTCATTTGGAAGAAAAGACTGATATGAATCAATATGCAACTACCTATAATCTTTCTCTATCCCTCTTACTGTGAATATTTTCTGTGGAAATATTAACATGTTTGGTCTCCACTGGGGTAGGACTCCACATGTGTAGGACTCCACTGGGGTGCTACACATACACATAGTAGATATGCCTTACCACCTTCCTAAAATTGGGTAATTAAATTTCACAACTTATCTAGCCCAAAGGTTTCAAAGACTGTAGACCTGTATCTTTATGAGGGCAAGGATGAGAATATAACCTGGCCTGTTATTATGCACCAAGGTACCTGCTGTTCTCATGAAGATGTCAGCAGCCAGCCAGCCAGTCTCTACAAACTCCACCCCCAACCTCGCTATGCTCCTTTCCCTGGAACTTTCCAAGGGGCCCTTAGAATTTGTATTCAGCTCTCACAGGCTGAGACCAGGGTGACATCCTGGGAAACCTGCCTAGTGATAGCCAAGGTGTAGCTCCAGATGAAAGGTACACAACAACTTTAAATATAAAAAAGCCATTCAGGCTAGGCACAGTGGCTCACATGTGTAATCCCAGCACTTTAAGAGACCGAGGCAGGCGGATCACCTGAGGTCAGAAGTTCAAGACCAGGCTGGCCAACATGGAAAAACCCTGTCTCTACAAAAAAATTTAAAAATTAGCTTGGCATGCTGGTGCATAACTGTAATCCCAGCTACTTGGGAGGCTGAGGCACGAGAATCGCTTGAACCTGGGAAGCAGAGGTTGCAGTGAGCCAAGCTTGCACCACTACACTTCAGGCTGGGCAACAGAGTGAGACTCCGTCTCAAATAAATAAATAATAAAGCCATTCAACTAAAGAACTGATTATCAAGCAGAAGCACAAAGCCCAGGTTCCATCAGGTTTTTAATTGTACATCAGCGACTGTGAAAAAGCAATTATTCCCATAATTAAAATATAAACTATAAAAAACAGACTCAAAGAAAAGAAAGATGACAGAGTGAAAGAAGGTACATTTCTTTCATGTTCAAACCACGGAGTTCACAACACAGCAGCACACACAGCCGGGTGCTTTGTGGTCTCAGCACCCTCAGCTTCCCCTTCACGAGGCCGCTTTCGACTAGTAGAAGGCTGAAAATAAAGGAAAATGGAGAAATGTTCAAAAGAAAATCACTGGCTTCTTTAAGATTATCAAAGTTCCTCAATGTACTTCCAGTAAAGTGGGGGTATTTGATGTGAAATTCTAGTACCAAAAATTACTGGTTGTCATAATTGACAACTGAGTCCTCACTGTAGCCCGCAACTCAGACATGCTTATCTAATAGATATTTCTCTCCCTATGGCTTCTGACCCCTGAATGATGTATACTGAAAGCAAGTAGCATAACCAACTTCCTCTTGATCATCCTCTTCTAAATATCAAGTTTAAAAGGGCTACAATACCTCTCAGTTGAAGCCCCAAGTCTTGGTCTTTTGTGGGAAGACAACCTTTGTGCCTTAGTTGTTTTCCCATATACAAAATTGGGAGGAAGGCTGGGTGTGGTGACTCACTCCTGTAATCCCAGCACTTTGGGAAGCCGAGGTGGGCAGGTCTCTTCAGGTCAAAAGTTCGAGACAAGCCTGACCAACATGGCAAAACCCCATCTCACCTAAAAATACAAAAATTAGCTGGGCACAGTGGCGGACACCTGTAGTCCCAGATACTCGGGAGACTGAGGCAGGAGAACTGCTTGAACCCAGGAGGCAGAGGTTGCAGTGAGCTGAGATTGCACCACTGCACTCTGGTCTGAGTGACAGACTAAGACTCTGTCTCAAGAAAAAAAAATCAGGGGGGAGGAAACAGTGGGAAAAAGGACAGCTACCATTCAACAACAACAACAACAAAAAAGCAGGACTGGAATTAACTTATACTCACAAAGAACTTTAAAGAATAAAATTGTAATCAAGAAATCAACTACTGACTCAAATTTTAATTTTTCCAACAAATTTATATTTGAGCCTCTAATAGAGTCTTTCGAAATTGCCTTGCAGGTGACCTTTTGGATGACAATCCCTAGCTGTGTTTATCTGTCTATTATGTGTTAGACATTAAACATATCCTGCATTTTTAAATCTAAGGGTGCTGGAGTGAATCAAGTTCAAACAGAGTTTCTACTACATTATAACTGAAACAATGTTAAGCAATTGCTACTCAGGAAAATCTTGAATTTCATCATCTTTGCTTATCAGCTCCTTAAGCCCAGACTACATTTAGTGATCATCAGGAATACGAATACCTGGGCTAGAACCTGAGATAGAGCTGTGGATTCATTTTCCTCAGACAGAAGATCTTGAAACTTTCTCTTCATGTCTTCATAATGTGAGGGAATTAAAAACATAAGTAGCTGTGTCTGAAGGATAATAAAATCCTAGAATGACAGGGGTGGCATGCCCCTGTGGAAAGAGGGAGGAAAAGATGTCCGTCCAAGAATCATCCCCTTGATGAAGCTCCCACAGCGAAGGCATTATGTGTTGCCCCCTCTACCTTCCCAGAGGAGTCCAATTAGCAGTCAATGCTCCATCACTGGCTGACTCACCTCCACATGCCTAAAAGCTCTCAGTGGGTCAATCACAGCCTCCAGCAGTCAAGAGTTTCTGAATTAGCATCCCAGATCCTGAGAAAGGTGACAATCAGGGGGCCAGGGGCTGGGCCTGACTCCATGCAGCTCTTCAAATCCTTCCGGGACCACTCTCCACCTGCTGCCCCTGCCATGAATGAGGCCAGTCACCCAGGCTGTCCTAACAACCAGCCCAGCACCCTAGGAAAATTCACCCAGCAGATGCCATACAAATTTTCAGAAGTACTTAAGCCCACAATATCCCAGAGCTCAGGTCTAATGAGAAAGGGAGACAATAAACAGAACAAAGCATTACAGGTGTTTCATGCTGCAGAAGCGGGAGATGAGGAGGGAACAGACGGTGTGTATACGAGTAGCTCCCACCTCTCTGGATGCTTACTTCTGCAGGGTTCAAGGATTTGCATTAGGAAACCCTGAGAGGTGGTCTGGTGCAGCTCTCCCCATCTTCAGCAAGGTGAAAGGACCATCTATAACTAGGAATGTGGCCTTTGAGTGTTGGCCAGAAGCCCAGCTCAGCCACTCACAGGTGGCATGTGCAGAATACAGACCCAGAGTTATCTGATTCCAATGCCTCATGTACTTTCCCACCCAACTCCAGCCCCTCCTTCCACTGAGCCAAGCATACCACAGTGGGGAAAGGGAGAGGATACAGCAAAGTCCTCCACCTTTTGGCAATTTGATGGATATGGAAATTTTACAACACTAGGTTGGGCATGGTGGCTCATGCCTATAATCCCAGCAGTTTGGGAGGCCAAGGTGGGAGAATTTCTTGGGGCCAGGAATTTGAGACCAGCCTGGGCAATATAGTGGGACTTTGTCACTACAAAACAAATTTAAAAATTACGCCAGGCATGGAGGCTCACGCCGGTAATCCCAGCACTTTGGGAGGCCAAGGCGGGCAAATCACCTGAGGTGAGAAGTTTGAGATCAGCCTGGCTAACATGGTGAAACCCTGTCTCTACTAAAAATACAAAATTAGCCAGGCGTGGTAGTGCATGCCTGTAATCCCAGCTACTCAGGAGGCTGAGGCAGGAGAATCGCTTGAACTCGAGAGGCGGAGGTTGCAGTAAGCCAGGATCACACCACTGCACTCCAGCCTGGGCAAAAGAGTACGACTCTGTCTCCAAACAAACAAACAAAAAAAAATTAAATTAACCAGACATGATGGCATGCGCCTGTAGTCTCAGCTACTTGGGAGCCTGGGGCAGGAGGATCACTTAAGCCTGAAAGTGATGGTGCAGTGATCATGCCACTGCACTCCAGCCTAGGTGAGAGAGCAAGACCCTGAGGAAGGAAGGAAGGAAAGAAGCAAGGAAGAAAAAAGGGAGGGAGGATGAAAGAGGGGAGGGGAAAGAAATGGAGGAGAGGGGAGGGGGAAGGAAGGAGGAAGAAAGAAAGAAGGAAAGGAGGACCAGGCACAGTGGTTCACGCCTGTAATCCCAGCACTTTGGGAGGCCAAGGCAGGGCACATCACTTGAGGTCACTCTGTTTTGAGTTTCTCAGTGTAGCTCCCCATTGCCATGTGACAGCAGCAAGCTCATCTGGATTCCTCTCTGCACCCTCTCACAGCCTTACTTAGGATCTCAATTATCTTGCAGTGTCACTCTCAAAAGTCCATCTCTTGGCAGCCCTTCAGTGAAGCCAAACAGAGTGGCCACAAGCCTAATCAGGCCTATATTTAAAATAAGTAATCAGGTCAGGCACAGTGGCTCATGCCTGGAATCCCAGCACTTTGGCAGGCCAAGGTGGGTGGATCACCTGAGGTCAGGAGTTTGAGACTAGTCTGACCAACACGGTGAAACCCCATCTCTACTAAAAATACAAAAATGAGCTGGGCATGGTGGCAGGCACCTGTAATCCCAGCCACTTAGGAGGCTGATGCAGGAGAATCACTTGAACCCAGAGGTGGAGGTTGCAGTGAGTTGAGATCACACCATTGCACTCCAGCCTGGTAGACAAAAGCGAGACTCCATCTCAAAAAAGGAAATAAATAAATAAACATTGATTTTCTTCATGATGTCTACAATTATTCCAAAATATTAAATTAGCCAGGAACAGTGGCTTGTGCCTATCATCCAAGCACTTTGTGAGGCTGAGGCGGGAGGATCACTTAAGGCCAGGAGGTCGAGGCTGCAGTGAGCTATAATTGCACCAGTGCACTCCAGTTTAGGCAACAGAAGAAGACCTTGTCTCCAACAATAAATAAAATAAAAATTAAATTATAATATCCCTTGAAAGCAAACAGAAGAAATCCTCTATTTCAGGCAGTAAATATGAGGCAGACAGTAGATGTAAGGGATGCTCCCAAAACTGGGCACTCTGTTAATGACAAAACAGAGACCAGAATCCACATTCCCAACACTCAGTCCAGCGCCAGACCCACAAAACCATTTGGTTTTTGTGAAAACACTGAATTTTCCCAAAATAAAACCCAAACTATCACTAACAGATGTTTTAGATGGTCAGTCTTCATAGTCTTCATCCTTGTCTTCATTCAATGCTCATTCCTCCTTTTACTGCAAAAACAAAAGGTGGCTAAAAGAGTATTCCAGGGAGATCCTGCAACAGAGTTGAACTTCACCTTCTCCTTGGTTGTTAATAAGTTTTCTTTGAGACGAAGAAGTACAAGAAAAATGGGCTACGCTTGCTCATAAATTTCAGACAGATGCAAACCCTGTTCCCAGGCTCAATAGGCCAGCTCTGTTTTTTTGCTAGAGATGAACACAGCTCCTGTACCTATACATTTAGACCCAAGAGTTTCCCTATTAGGACACATGAAAAGAGCCAAAAGACATGTTTCTCTTTTTCATCAAAATTAAAATCCTCACATGCAAAGGCACCCTTTGTTTCCAAAGCCCTTTCCTCCAAGGTCCCGCTGTTTCAAATCTGTGTGGTCTATTAAATGCTAAATCATCTGACAGATTTCTTCTGGGGAGACTGTAGTTTCCAGGGCAACATCCAAAACACATATATCTGTCTTTTTTTTTTTTTTTAAGTTTTTGTTGTTCTCAACCTGAGCTGACCTGAGCAAAACTGTTAGGTGTAGAGTATTAGAACAGAGAATGGGGAGAGTCTTCCTAGAGTCCCAGAAGTACGGGGCTGAGGCTGGATTGCCCAAGGAGTTCCTGGACCAGTAATCCCCAGAGAAACAGCATTTAGCTCAAGTAACAGCCTCTAGCTCAAGCTACCAGTTCTGTCCCCCATCTCCACAGAAAACGGATTGATACAGTTGGCTTTATGTCCCTACCCAAATCTCATCTCAAATTGTAATCCCCAAGTGTTGAGAAAGGGACCTGTTGAGAGGTGATTGGCTCATGGGGGCAGTTTCCCCCAGGCTATTCTCGTGATAGTGAGTTCTCACGAGATCTGACAGTTTCATAAAAGGATCTTCGCCCTTCACTTCCTTCACAAGCTCTCTCACCTGCTGCCATTAAGACATGCCTTCTTCCCCTTCCACCATGATTGTAAGTTTCCTGAGGCCTCCCCAGCCATGTGAGCTGTGAGTCAATTAAACCTCCTTTCTTTATAAATTACCCAGTCTTGGGCAGTTCTTTATAGCAGTGTGAAAACAGACTGATACACAGACCAAAAGAAGATTAATAGAAAGGGACATGGCTGTGTTGAATGGAACTGCTCGTTACAGAAGACCAGACATCTATCAGAAAACCTTCCCAATGGCGTAGCTAATTCCAAAACTAAAGATTAATCCAGCAAAGCCAAAACGTACTTCTAACTCTTGGCAGTTCCAAATGAGGTCAGCATTTAATAATGGCAGCCCCAACCCCTAGCAGGAGCACAGCAGTAACACAGATGAAAGGTGCAGGTGATGGCCTTCACTAAGGACACATTTACTCACCTGAATGAACAAGCAGTGGGACCCTTTATACCCAGTCACTTGGGCTTGAAAAATAGCTGGATTCTCCCCAGGGAGGCTGCCCTCCTCCCCCTCCCCCACTTCCCTTATTTAAGGTTGAAGATGGCTGGAATGCACCCCACCTATGAAGAGCAGTGGACATGGCTGGGGATAGAGCCAGAACAAGCCCTCAAAAGAACACAGGCCAGACTGGAGACTTAGGGCAGCCAAGTGGAACCAGAACAGGACATAAAGTGAGCTTGTACATCCAACAGCCATGAGTAACATCAAAAAGGTTGTAGCCTGGCCAACACGGTGAAACCCCATCTCTACAAAAAATACAAAAGTAGTTGGGCTTGGTAGCATGCACCTTTAATCCCAGCTACTTGGGAGGCTGAGGCAGGAGAATCACTTGAACCCAGGGGGCAGAGTTTGCAGTGAGCTGAGATCGTGCCACTGCACTCCAGCCAGGGTGACAGAATGAGAACCTGTCTCAAAAAAGAAAAAAAAAAAAGACAGGTTGTAACCCATCCTCCAAGATACCCCCCATACATCTAAAACAATTAGATTAAACAGACTAAACATGTTTCTGTCCTCTGTCTCATGTCTCTCAGGCAGCAGGGCTTCCCAAGTATTTTATGCTTGCAGGCACTGTCCCACACCCACCTGAAGCCACGGTGTCTTAAGGCTTCTTCTGTCATAAAACGTGCCTTTGGATCCACTACCAACAACTTCTTGACAAGGTCCAGTGCTAAAGCAACAACTGGGCAAATCACAGTGAAAAGGATAAATATATTATCAGTAATAGTATGCCAGGATTAACAGGTCACCATCCAGAAAGAGCAGAGAGGGTCTGAGATCATCAGGGAGTCAGCAGACAGGGCCCCCTAATCTTCCTCACTCTCTGTATGCAGAGTACTGTGAGAAGACCAGGAATGATAATGACACTCCCTGTCTCCTGCTGCTGGGACATCATTCACGACCTCTTCCCTGCCTGTTCCCTCTCCTGTTGCTAGACTCAAGGTCAAACTAATTAAAGCTAAACTTCTACCCAATTCTAAGATACTTGGGATGCACAGCAAACTCTCCCTGACAGATGGATGGGTGAGAGTTACTCAGCCAGGGAGAGGCTCCCTGGAACTGCAGACTTGTCAGAAATAAAGCTTGACTACTCCAGCAAGCAACAAATGCACTCTGACCTGTATATTACAACATAATTATTCCTTAAATATTCTGACATTTAACACAATCACCTATGGTATGTTATTTGACATTCAAGACCTAGAATATTATATAGGCTAGTGAATATTATCCTTCATGTCTGGAGTACGAAAAGGAGCGTAACTGGTGAAATTGCTGGTTTTTTGTTATCTGACTAAGTGTATTAATCAAATCCAGTGAACGTTTCTGTCTGCATCGTATTCAAGATCTTTGCAGCTTTTGACGCCAATGATCACTCTCTTATTGAAACACTTGTCTTTTTTTTTTTTTTTTAATTCTGAGGCACCACTTACTGGTTTTCTTCTTCCCTCACTGCTTCTTCCTTTCTTGTCTTCCATATTCCATTCTTCTTTTCCTAACTTCTAAATATGAAATATCACTCAGGATTTAGACCTGGGCCATTTCCTCTTTTCCTTTTATATAGTTTGTCTATGTGGTCTCATCAATGTCCAAGATATCATATTTATGCATACAACCTTCCAATTTAAACATTATCTGGCCAGGCACGGTAGTTCATGCCTGTAATTCCAGCACTTTGGGGGCTGAGGCGGGCAGATCACCTGAGGTTGTGTGTTCAAACCAGCCTGGCCAACATGGTGAAACCCTATCTCTACTAAAAAATACAAAATTAACCAGACATCATGGCATGCACCTGTAGTCCCAGCTACTCAAGGGGCTGAGGCAGGAGAATCGCTTGAACCCAGGAGGCAGAGGTTGCAGTGAGCCAAGATTGTGCCACTGCACTCCAGCCTCAAAATATATATATATATATATATATATATATATATATATATATATATATATATATATATATATAATCATTATAGATATAGTTGAAGCTTCCTGTGTACTATTTTCCAACCTCATTCCTCTCCTTTTCCTGGAGGTACCAGCTATGCAGATAAAAGCAGAAGTTAATGTCAGTAGCAGTGTGTTCATCATGTGTCTATGCCTTCATGACAAAGAAAGTTTAAAAACTTGTGTTCCTGGCTTCTGCTTTGGGAAAGTAATATTAATAATGTTAGAAATTATCCAAACATGGGGTGACTTATTAAAACCTGCTCATGCCAGGTGCCATGACTGATGCCTGTAATCCCAACACTTCGGGGCACCAAGGTGGAAGAATCATTTGAAGCCAAGAGTTTGAGGTTAGCTTGGGCAACATAGTGAGATTTCATCTCTATAAAATAAAAATTTTATAAATTAGCTAGACATTGTGGTGTGTGCCTGTAGCCCCAGCTACTCAGGAGGCTAAGGCAGAGGGTCCCTAGAACCCAGGAGTTCAAGGATGCTGTGAGATATATGATAGTGCCACTATTCCAACCCAGGCAACAGGGCAAGACCCTGTCTCTTTAAAAATAATAAAATAAAATAAAAGCTGCTTGGGCAAACTGTTAAACATTTGCTTCTATTCCTGAGATACCCAACTGGTCCAGAATTTTTTTTAGAATACATTACTAGATTTACTATTATTTTATTTTAGATGTTTGTATCTAAGCTTAGTTTGGCCTCCAATTTTCTTGGATTATAATGATCTTAAATATTTATATTGCATTTATGTTAGCCTCACAAAATGAATTGAAGGTGTTCCCTCTTTTTCCATTCTCTGAAATTATTTTGATATGATAGTGCTTATTTATATGTTCTTTGAATGTTTGGTAGAACTTTCATATTAAAGTATCTCATACTAGTGGGTGTTTTCTATGAGAAAGTATTTACTGATTGAATTTTTAAAAATAGATACATGAATATTCAGGTGTCCCATTTCTTCTTGACTAAGTGTTTATAAGTTCTAGTAGCCAACGAAGTTGTTCATTTCACTTATGTTTTTAGACTGTTGTCATATAGTCATTTATAGTATTCCGTTTATTATTTTTTCACTCATATTTTATGTTACACTTCATTTTTTATTCCTAATATTGCTTATTTATACCTTCTCTTTTTAATTAATCAATGTTACCAGAAGAGTGCCTATTTTATTATTCTTTTCAAAGAATCAGCATTTGGTTTTGTGAATCTTGCCTATTGTTTCTTTGTTTTATAGTTTATTAATGTCTATTTCTACTTTTAGCCTTATTGCCTTTAATTTATTTTATTTAGGTTTACTCCAATTTTTTTTTTTTTTTAGACAGAGTCTTGCTCTGTTGCCCAGGCTGCAATGCAGTGGCCCAATCTCGGCTCACTGCAACCTCTGCCTCCCTGGCTCAAGCAATTCTTCTGCCTCAGCCTCCCGAGTAGCTGGGATTATAGGCACCCACCACCACACCCAGCTAATTTTTGTATTTTCAGTAGAGACAGGAGTTTCACCATGTTGGCCAAGCTGGTCTTGAACTCCCGACCTCAGGTAATCCGCCCTCCTTGACCTCCCAAAGTGCTGGGATTACAGGCCTGAGCCACCATGCCCAATCTCTTTTTCTCTTTCCAAACTTCCTAAGGTGGACACTTAACTAATTTTCAGCCTATTTTTCAATATAAAAATTTAAAGATATAAATTACCCTTTCAGTACTGCCTCAGCTTTATCTCACAAGTTTTGTTATGTAGTATTTCACTTCCAAATATCTTCTGATTTTTGTTTTCGTGTCTTCTTTGACTGAAAAATTATTTAAGGTATAACTTCAGTTTGAAGATGAAAGAAATTTACATTTTTTTCTCTTATAAATTGCATTTTGGTTACAGAGTATAAGCCGCATGTTATAATGTTTGTTTATTTGTTGTGATTTGATTCATA